>NW_016107300.1:0-163926 GCF_000001405.40 Homo sapiens
GAATTCCCCATGAGTCCTGTGACCTCAGCCCACACGGGGACCTACAGGTGCTACGGCTCACTCAGCTCCGACCCCTACCTGCTGTCTCACCCCAGTGGCCCCGTGGAGCTCGTGGTCTCAGGTGAGGGCGCTGACCCTGTCCTCTCTGAGCTCAAAGGCTCAGCTCAGGCCCTGCCCCCAGCAGAGCTCTGGACACTAAGGAAAGAGGGGAGTGAAGGGAGAGGGTCCGCAGGGGAGGGTCCAGCCCATGGGAAGATGGAAATAGACAGGGACCTCCCACCCCTGGCTCCCACCCCTGAAGTCTCAGTAGAGTAAAGTGCAGGGAGGGCTGGGAGGAGACGGGGGGTGAACCTCAAAGGAGTTGAGATTAGACTGAGGGTGGAAGACGGAGGCCCCACCTGCTCCCATCCTGGTGTCTCCACCTCAGAATCAGAGCCTCTGTGTCCCAGTCCCCAACAGACGCCCTCCTGGAGAGAGAAGCATCCAGGCTGCCGGTGCCACCTGCATCCACCCCCGACCCCCCCCCACCCCGCCCCACTTCCTGCTTTCCCCTGCAGCCTCCCCAGCACTCAGCGCACACCTGAGCCTCACAGGGACTTGCACGTGCTCCCGCAGCAGCTCAGGGAATGTGCACCGCTCCTCTTCTGCGCCGTTGACATTTTTTATTTGGGTTTTTAAAATCTCATATTGGCCTTTTTGTCCAAGCTGGTGAAAGTAGATTTGCAGCATCACCTATTTTTATTCTCACCCGGTTTCGTAATAGCCCTGATCTCACGTGCTCCCTGAGGTTTTGTAAACTTCAGGTAGAAATGTGGACTTCCTTCGTTCTGGACATTTGCTATGGAGGGGGTAGGGCTTATCTTTTCAGAAAAAGTCAAATGACTGGTACCACTCCTTGAAACCCTACAGCACTTTCCAGACCTCAGAGGGAGGGAGAGAGAGGCAGAGACAGAGACAGAGAGACAGAGAGAGAGATATTGGGGCCGCTCTTTCCTGGCCGGTTCATCCTGGCCTATTCTCAATCCACCAAGGCCCCGAAGCTCATCTCCCCTCCTCCTCTGCCTCCTCCTCCACCCTGTAGACAAGCGGCCATTCCTTTCTGAAGAACAGGCTGAGACCTTTCTGGGACCTGCTCTTTCTGGAGCCTCTGTTGCTCCCTGTCTGGGTCTCCACACGCCTCCTTCCTGGCCCTTTTTCCTATTGAGGAATCAGCTTCAATGTCACCTCCAAGTGTGACCTTCACTGACGACACAGCTCAGCCCAGTCCTGCCTGCTTCTCATTTATGTCAAGTAATTAACCAACCTACACCATGCGGCTGAATTCCTTCTCTCTCTCTTCCACTCTCTGCATATACGTGTGTGTGTGTGTGTGCGCGTGTGTGGTCACACCAACATCTTACGTGACATTGAAACCTAGTTATCCGTATATCTATACAAATAATATATATTCACACATAAATATAGGTCTCTACCAATATATCTAAAACCATTGCTACGACTAGTAAATTTCCACTGCTGTGTTTCTATATGTTTGCTGTTTGTCTCCAGGTGAACCCACACTTCAAGAAGGCAGAGATAGTTTTTAAGGCCCACTATATATATAAAACAGATATATATTTGTGTTTGTGTTTTTCTGTGTGTGTATCACATTCTACCTGTTGCTGCCTATACGAATAATTAGCTACCTAGAGATTAAATGGACAATGAAACTCCAGGTGAAGTGGCTGAGGGCATGAAGGGGAGGCAGCCCCAGAATTTCACCCCTTTGTGCTTCTGACATTGAGGCTCCCCTGATGACTAACCCTCATCCACGGAGCCTGGGTCCTCAGCTGGTGGATCCGTGAAACTCTCATCTCCGGGGGAGTTGGCTCATGTTCTCCTGTGTCCCAGGCTGCACAGAGAGCACACAGGCCTTAGTGACCTCTGTACTGGGGACCACTTTCCTTGCAGATCCTGAGCTCTCAGGATGCAGGAAAACTCTCTCCCAGATGACTCAGGAGCAATGTTTAAATCCATAGAACACAGGAAAACTGAAATCGTTCAATGAGGAGACTAGAGGGAATCCTGCTAGCGGAGGAAGAGGTTTTTTTTTTTTTTTTTTAGAAATTCTGTAAAAGTCACATCATGAGACATTAAGTAATAAAAAAAAAATTGCAGAGCCCAGGTGAGAGGCTGGGCTCAGGTCTCTTTTTCTCTGTTTTGATTCTCTGGAGCAGCTGATACCCTCAGCCCATCACAAAACAAGTCTGACTCTGAGACTGGTATGTGAGGAGATACTCTCAGTGATGGGGCTGGCACTGAGGGTTGGGTCCTGTGAAGGGGAGGTGGGTGCCCTGGGTGGACAATCTGATCCACCCTGACCTCTGTGACCTCTTTGTCCACCATCCCCAGCCTCACACCTTCAGGATTACGCAGTGGAGAATCTCATCCACATGGGCGTGGCTGGCTTGATCCTGGTGGTCCTCGGGATTCTGTCATTTGAGGCTTGGCACAGCCAGAGAAGCTTCCCAAGATGCAGCCGGGAGGTGAACAGCAGAGAGGATAATGTACTTTATAGAGTCGTGAAGCCTCAGGAACAGATCTGATGATCCCAGGAGGTTCTGGAAGAAAATCTAGGGCCGATGCTATCTGGACTGTCTGCTGGTCATTTCCAGAGGAAGGAATCAATGTCCGAGTGCAGGGACATTTTCTGGGGTGATCCATGGAGAACCATTAAAATGTGATACCTTTCCTCTCCATTAATGTTGACTTTCCTTGGTTGGATCTGCCTCTTTTCCCACACTTAGACATGAGGCTCCATCCCACATGGCAGCGTTGGGTCCACACCTCTGCACACCTGCATGCTCTGGTCCATGGCGTGTCACACAGTCCTCTTCATTTCTCATTGCCACACTTCCTGGTGTACTTTACTGGGTCTTCATGTCTTCAGTTCAGAGTTCCGCACCTGGTTTAGGAACTAATTCAACGGGAGAAGATCAGAGTCCGACCAGGAAAAGATAAATGCACCGTGATGCCCTCACCTCCTGTGTGGACCCTATGAGCTCTTCCCTCCTTATCAGATGCTATCTGTGTAGTTTCTCCTGAAATATCACCACCTGGAATCAACACACTGGCATTTGAAGTCACGACCCAATGGTATGCTAATTCTGAAAAAGACATTTTTTGAAATGCTATGATTAGTGGCATTTACCAATTTCCTTGACGTAAATTCTTTTTTCATGGCCATAATCAAGATGCCAACGAGACATCCCTGAATGCAGGGTTGGGAAGCGTTGGACAGACTTGTCTTCACTCATAAGCACCAGGCATCTGATAGCTCACGTATACATCTTATTACCTTCCATTTTAGAGTGAATAATCATTTCTACTTCAGTATTTTGGCACAGGTAAAAGCAGTCCCATTACTGCGCGTATACCCAAAGGAATATAAATCATTCTATTGCAAAGATACATGCACACATGTGTTCATCGCAGCACTATTCACAATAGCAAAGACATAGAATCAACCCAAATGCCCATCAATGATAGACTGGATAAAGAAAATGTGAGACATATACACCACGGAATACTATGAAGCCATAAAAAGAAACAAGATCATGTCCTTTGCAGGGACATGGATGGAGCTGGAAACCATTATCCTCAGGAAACTAACACAGGAACAGGAAATCAAACGCTGCATGTTCTCACTTACAAGTGGGTGCTGAACAATGAGAATGCGTGAACACAGGGAGGGGAACAACACACACTGGGGCCTGTCGGGGGGGGGGTGGGGTAGGGGTAGGGAGAGCATTAGGAAAAATAGCTAATGTATGCTGGGCTTAATACCTAGGTGATGGGTTGACAGGTGCAGGAAACCACCATGGCGCACATTGACCTATGCAATAAGCCCACACATTCTGCACATGTACCCCGGAACTTAAAATAAAAATAAAAATTAAAATTAAATTATGACACCATGATCCTAGCATATCCAAAAAAGACAAAAATGCCAATATCAAATGTCGGAGAAAATAGGGCTGAATTAAAAATCCAATACAACGCCGGGCGCAGTGGCTCACGCCTGTAATCCCAGCACTTTGGGAGGCCAAGGTGGGTGGATCACTTGAAGTCAGGAGTTTGAGACCAGCCTGGCCAAACGTGGTGAAACCCTGCCTCTACTAAAAATACAAAAATTAGCCGGGTGTGGTGGCACTCGCCTGTAGTCCTAGCTACTAGGGAGGCTGAGGCAGGAGAATCACTTGAACCCGGGAGGCGGAGGTTGCAATGAGCTGAGATCATGCCACTGAACTCCAGCCTGGGTGACAGAGCGAGACTCCGTCTCAAAAAAAAAAACAAAAAAAAAAAACCCTCAAAAGCTCAGGCAGCAAAAGCAAAAATAGGCAAATGAGATCATAGCAAACTGCAAACCTTCTGCACAATCAAGGAAACAAACAGCAGAGTGAAGAGACCACCTACAGAATGGGAAAGAATATTTGCAAGCAAGAGATTAATCTCCAGAAAATACAAGGAGCTCAAACAATGCAGAGGTTTTGAAGGATGGTGATGAGAAGGTTCTGCTACTTACAGAAAGGAAGTTTAGGAGAAACAAAACCACAAACCTAGGTGGTGGGATGGCTTGATCTGCTTCTGTCTGTGACTCACTTAACAGTCTTAAACACATCTCCCTAAGCCTCCTTCCCCCGGTGGGATTCCTGGGTCTTGTGAGGACCTCATCGGTCCCTCTGGTAAACCCAGGCACAGAGTGGAGCAGCTCTTGTTTTCTCAGGATCTTCCCCTTCACATACAATTAACGCACCCACACGATGCTACTCTTAGAACCCTTCAAATAAATGTTTCCCGGTTCATTCACTACCAGAATCCAAGCTCAGCTTGTTCCCCAGCTTAGGACTGAGTGGTATCTTGGAGGTAGTTTCCACCATAGCCCCCTTCCTCTGCTATAAGGCTCAGTGACACACCAGAGACACCCCCTCCAGCCAGGCTCCTGGAAGGTCTGGATGAAGACTGGGATGCTGAGGCATTGCTCAGCAATGTGGCTTAACTCAAACTTCTATGTGAAACTTCCAACCACTTTCAGCAAGGGGTCACTTCCAGCGTCTTGGGGTGTGAGGGCACTTTGGTTGGTCCCTGCAATATCAGACCCTATAAAGATCCTACAAACATGTTGCAGACTCTTTGAAGATTCTGGCACTTTCAGACATGCTGTTGGGAAATGGTGACACCCATAACCTTCTAGTTCCAGGACAGGGAGCCTTAGCCCAGGGCTATGTTTTCTGAGGGTCCTCAAAGTAAACAGTTCTATGTGCCAGGAGAACCCTAAATCTCATATGGTTCTAAGGGCAGAAAGCCACACACGCACCGGCAAAAAGCAAGAGATTCAAGGAAAAGCTGAGCAAAGACAGACAGGAAAACACACACATGATGAGCCAGCTTGTAGAGCTAGAACTGAGATGGAGAGAGGCACGAGTGGGTAACAGAGTGTGCTCCCCAGAACAGGTGGAGAGAATGCCTTTTTCATGCCCTGAGGATAGGCTGGGTAAGGCTTGTGCTCGACAGTCAAGGACTATTTTTTTCCCCAGGCGTCTACAAGAGACCTTCCTTCTCAGCTCAACTGTGCCCTGCAGTAAGTAATGATGGAGAGAATGTGACTTTGCTCTGCAGCTCTGGAAGCTCATTTGACCTGTGCCTTCTAACGAGGAAGGTAAGGCCCCTGGACACTGGCTCACTGGGGTGCAGAGACAGAGTGGGGCATTCAGGCCAACTTCTCTCTGGGTCTTGGGGCTGGTGATGGGACCTCTAGATGCTGCAGCTCTCTGTCGATGGCTCTGCCTGTGAGTGATCAGCCCTAGATGACCACTGTTACTGGGGGTAGCCCATGCCTGCTGCATGCCCTGTGAAACACTAAATCATATAGCCACGTCTGAGGGACAGCCTGCTGGAGACATGGGAATCTTAGGGATTCCAGACAAAATGAAGCAATGAGAAACACAAAGAGGAAAAGAGAGGTTGAGTATGACAGTGGTGTCAGGGTGTAGGGTGGTAGACAGGGCAGCTCCACACTCTCCACTGCTTCCTGTCTGGAGGCCCACTTTGGGGTCCTACTTATCCAGGTGAGTGAAGGAAGAGGTCAGGACAAACACAGGAGGTGAAGCCAGATACAGTGTGGGGAGATAAGCAGTGGCCTCAGCCTCTAGCCCTTTTCCATCTTCCAGAAGCCCCTCCTGAGCTCTCATCACAGACAGATTTCCCATTTGGAAACCCAGATATTTATCATGCCGGGGGGGGGAGGCAATGTCTCTTGATTATGGGGACTTTCCATCACCAGGCACCTGCTAGTCCTCTCTATACCTTCCCTTCAGGAAAGGAATTGTCCCTCATGGGATTCCAGGGAAGAGACCCCAGGACCCCTATCAGTCACTAGGGAGATGACAGAGTAGAGGAAGTCAGGGGACCAACCCTCCACAGAGAATGGTCCTACTTCAGTGGGGTGAGGGAAACTCTCACTCATCCATTTGCTGTCCTGTTACCTCGGAACCCTAAGAGAACTTGTTAGTCACACACAGAATCTACCCCTGAATGTGGTGTGCAAAGTGGGGCTCTTAGCCTCCAGTGTGAAGTCCCTGGGAAGATGGAATGTCCCTGTGTGAGTGAAGGCTGTGCCACCGCCCAGCTATGTGGCCTTGGGCTAGGCAACCCCTCCCAGGTCCCCAGTTCCCCATCTGCATCGGAGACTGTGGCCAGTGCGGGAATCCACAAGGCCCTTCAGCCTCCAAAGCTCTGGGACAGAGGCCTCGTCCACAGGGAGGAAGGGGTCAGAGTGACCTGAGTCCCTACTCAGGAGCGAGTCTAATCCACTCTCCATCGGGGCCTGTGGGGAAGGGAAGATGAAGAAACGGAGCCTGCACCTGGCTATGTGGGCGCAGTAGATTAAGGGGAGGATGAGGGTTCCTGAGAGTGTGTCATGTGGCAGAGACCCTGCAGCACACTCAGGAAGGGCTCTGGAAGGATCCAAGGAAATTTTCCAAGAAGAGGGCAGAGTAAGTGACAGAGACCCTCAACCATGGATTTCACTGAGGTGCCCATGATGACATAGGGAGAACGGGGGTGTCTGGGCAGGAAGAATATCGTCAGGGTGAAATGAATGGTGATGAGCTTCGTGTCAGAGCTCCTGTGGAGGGAGGGGCCTGGCCCACATGAAAAGGTCTCTGATCCTACCCCAGCCCCCAGCCCCTGTTCTCCAGGATGACACTGTGGGAATTCCATCAGGAGGGGTGTGATAGGGCTGGTCTTCCTGGCTCGATTCACAACACTGGCTGGGGACTGGGAACCCATGGGGAGCCACAGGTGGAAAGGGAGGAGCCTCAGTGAACCCAGCAGGAACAAACATAGGGTCTGACATGATGGAACTCACTTCCTGGAGGCCAAGAAAGACACTTGCGGGACAAAAGGGAAAGAGCGGTGGCTTGCTTAGTTCCATTCACTGACAACCCACAGGAGATGTCCAGTCCTTTTTTGATTTATTATTTTATTTTATTATATTTTATTTTATTTTATTTTATTTTCACATGGAGTTTTGCTCCTATTGGCCAGGCTGGAGTGCAATGGCACGATCTTGACTCACTGCAACCTCCACCTCTCAGGTTCAAGCGATTCTCCTGCCTCAGCCTCCTGCATAGCTGGGATTACAGGCGACTGCCACCACAGCCAGGTAATGTTTGTATTTTTAGTAGAGATGAGGTTTTGCCATCTTGGCCAGGCTGGTCTCAAACTCCTGATCTCATGTGATCCGCCTGTATCAGACTGCCAAAGTGTTGGGATTACAGGCGTGAGCCACCACACCCAGCCTTTTGTATTTTTAGTAGAGATGGGGTTTCACCATGTTGGTCAGGCTGGTCTTAAACTCCTGACCTCAGGTGATCCATCCACCTCGGCCACCCAAAGTGCTGGGAGTACAGATGTTAGCCACCGTACCCAGCGAGAGTTTCAGTGCTCTATCGGATTCCCTGCCTACTCCATGTTGCATGTAATGTTCCACCTCAGGGATGTTTCTCTCCTTTCTGTCTCCTTCCTCTTCTCCTTCTCCTTTTTTCTTTCTAATTTTTATTTTTTTGAGACAGAGCCTTGCTCTGTTACCCAGGCTAGAGTACAGTGGCACGATCCCAGCTCACTGCAACCTCTGCCTCCTGGGTTCAAGAGATTCTCCTGACTCAGCCTCTCAAGTAGCTGGGATTACAGGCACCCGCCATCACACCCAGCTAGTTTTTGTATTTTTAGTAGAGACGAGGTTTCACCATGTTGGCCAGACTGGTCTTGAACTCCTGCCCTCAGGTAATCCACCCGCCTGTGGCCCCCCAAAGTGCTGGGATTACAGGCGTGAGTCACCACTCCCAGCCCTGAATGATCTTTCCTCTTTAGTGTGTTCTCACAACCACCTCTCACTGAGCTTTCTTGTTTTTTGTTTTTGTTTTTGTTTTTGTTTTTGTTTTTGGCAGAGTCTGGCTTTGTTGCCTATGCTGGAGTGCAGTGGTGCAATCTCAGCTCACTGCAACCTCCGTCTCCTGGGTTCAAGCGATTCTCCCACCTCAGCCTCCTGAGTAGCTGGGATTACAGGCACCCACCACCACACCCAGCTAATTTTTGCATTTTTAGTAGACACAGGGTTTCACCATGTTGGTCAGGCTGGTCTCGAACTCCTGACCTTGTGATCTGCCAGCCTCAGCCTCCCAAAGTGCTGGAATTACAGGCATGAGCCACCACTCCCAGCCCTGGATTATCTTTCCTCTTTAGTGTGTTCTCACAACTACCTCTCACTGCTGGGTTTTCTCTCTTTCTTTTTTTTTTTTTTTTTTTTTTTTTTTGAGACAGTCCGGCTTTGTTGCCCAGGCTGGAGTGCAGTGGCGCGATCTCGGCTCACTGCAAGCTCCACCTCCCAGGTTCAAGCGATTCTCCCACCTCAGCCTCCCTAGTAGCTGGGATTACAGGCGCATGCCAGCACACCCAGCTAGTTTTTGTATTTTTAGTAGAGACAGGGGTTTCACCATGTTGGTCAGGCTGGTCTTGAACTCCTGACCTTGTGATCTTCCTGCCTCGGCCTCCCAAAGTGCTGGGATTACAGGTGTAAGCCACTGCACCCAGCCAGCTTTCTCATTCTTATCCCTTAGTTCTCTGCCAGGGAATAAGATAGAAACCATTCCCTCAACCACATTCTAGTCATGGTCCCTATTCTCATGTTTCCACTTCTCTCTCTTTGGTAATAAATCAATTAATTGAGAAACAAGTAGCTAAATGTTCATCTTCTGCTAGTCTGCATCCCCTTATTTTCCCAGAGCCTCCCCTAATGAAACTGACTTTATTTACTGAACGCAGGAAATGGGTCTCTCCAGATCAGGATGACTTTCTGCTGGGAAATATTTGTCTTTGCATCAGTGGGGAAAAAGAAAGCCGATGTCATGAGTGGAGGCTCTGAGAAAATAAGGGCTGTGTTTTCAGTTTAGACCCAGCTAAGTTGGGAGCTGACATAGATATGATGTTGGGTCCACCCTCCACGGGCAGGTTTTCAGACAAAGGATCCCTGGCAATCAGGGGACACCTCAGGTCTGGGCTGAGATGTGTGCAGAGGGCCTGGGTCCTCCTGAGCCCCTGCACTGGGGGGGGAATAAGAGACAGGCCCAGCAAGGGGCTGTCCACTTCCTGTGGGTTCACAGCTGTGGGGACCCAGGCAGGCGGCAGCAGGCTCTGACTTAACCACATCCGTGCATCTGTCTGTCATGGAGGGCCATGTGGTCACCTGTCCCACAGCTGGAGCACGCAGAGCAGGCATCATGGTGTCCATCCTCACTGTTCTTCTGTGCCTCAGTCAGTGGTGGAGAGACGAGGGACAGGAGGGGCACTGGGCTGAGGTGGGGAGGGTCCCACAGCAGCCTTGTTCACCAGAGAGCCTCAGGGCTCCAGTGGCTACTGGTGCTCCAACAGGAAGGGAAGCAGCCACACCTCTGTGTTCCAAATCCCCCACAGGAAACTCTTCTCCATGGCTGAGTCTGGGCCAGAAAGCCCAAGCACTTGCAGGTGAGTCTCTGCTAACCTCCCATGCCTGACCTCACACTCAGCACCTGGACTCTCATCTCAGGGGCTTCTGAACTGAGGGTGAGAAAATCAAGAGGGTCTGTGACCTGAGCTGGGAATGAGGAGCGGGGGAGGTCTGTGGACCCCAGCCTGTGGTTTCTTCCAGGGACCCTCCCCAAACCCAGCCTCTGGGCTGAGCCAGGCTCTGTGATTACCTGGGAGAGCCCCATGACCCTCTGGTGCCAGGGGACCCTGGATACCCAGGGTTACTATCTCACCAAGGAAGGAAACCCCATGACCTGGTACCAACAGAGCCCACCAGAGCCCAGGAACAAGACCAACTTCTTCATCCCATCCATGAGAGAGCACCATGCAGGGAGATACCACTGTCACTATCTCAGCCCTGCAGGCTGGTCAGAGCGCAGCGAGCCCCTGGAGCTGGTGGTGACAGGTAAGAGGACACTCAGGGGTCCCAGCCCCAGGCTCTGCCTGCAGGAAGGGGGTCAGCTCTCAAGGGCATCTCCGTTCTAATAACTCAGCCCTGGGGGATGATGTGGGACGCGTGAGCCCCATTTAAGACAGTGTCTCCTTCTCTCCTAGGAGCCCACAGAAAACCCACTCTCTCAGCCCTGCCGAGCCCTGTGGTGACCTCAGGAGAGAACGTGACCATCCAGTGTAGCTCAAGGGTGGGATTTCACAGGTTCATTTTGATTGAGGAAGGAGAAAACAAGCTCTCCTGGATGCTGGACTCACAGGAACTCTCCAAGGGGCTGTCCCTTGTCCCTGGCCCTGTTCCCTGTGGGCCGTGTGGCTGCCAGTCACCGGTGGATGTTCAGATGCTATGGGCATTACACGAACTTCCCCTGGGTGTGGTCGGAACCCAGTGATACCATGGAGATCCTGGTCTTAGGTATGGATGTCTTCCTCCTTGCCCTATTTATTTTTGAGAACTTACTCTCACGGAGCCCCATGTAGGAGGGTGGAACAAGGGAAGTTTGGGACTCCTGAGCCCAGAGACACTGAGTGTGAGAGACAGTGAGACCTGCAGGGCCAGGAGGGGAGAAGGAAGGGGTGTGGGAGGAACCAGCCCTCCTAGTCCCGACTCTTCTTTCCCTCCAGGCGTGTCTAGGAAGCCCTCCCTCCTGACCCTGCAGGGCCCTGTCGTGGCCCCTGGGGAGAATCTGACCCTCCAGTGTGGCTCTGATGTCGGCTATGACAAATTCACTCTGTACAAGGAGGGGGGACATGACCTCGTCCAGGGCTCTGGCCGGCAGCCCCAGGCTGGGCTCTCCCAGGCCAACTTCACCCTGGGCCCTGTGAGGGTCTCCCACGGGGGCCAGTACAGATGCTACGGTGCACACAACCTCTCCTCCGAGTGGTCGGCCCCCAGTGACCCCCTGAGCATCCTGATCGCAGGTGAGGAGCCCAGCAGGTTCAGTCAGGGACCCAGGCTCCGCACAGGCCCTGCTGGGGGAGCCCAGGTGGTGATGGCCGGGATGAGGGGTGGGGGTCCTAAGGGACGGAGAGACAGACAGAGACAGGGGATGGGCGGGGAGGGGGAGACTCAGAGAAAACAGAGACAGAGACACTGAGGGTCCCAGGGAGAGGCCTGGGGAGGTGTCAGCTCAGAACGAGGTGGGGCAGCCCCTCACCCATCCTTCTTCTCTCCAGGACAGATCCGTGGCAGACCCTCCCTCTCGGTGCAGCCGGGCCCCACGGTGGCCTCAGGAGAGAACGTGACCCTGCTGTGTCAGTCACGGGAGCAGTTGGACACTTTCCTTCTGACCAAGGAGGGGGCAGCCCATCACCCACTGCGTCTGAGATCAGAGCACCAAGCTCAGCAGCACCAGGCTGAATTCCCCATGAGTCCTGTGACCTCAGCCCACGCGGGGACCTACAGGTGCTACAGCTCACGCAGATTCTTCCCCTACCTGCTGTCTCACCCCAGTGACCCCCTGGAGCTCGTGGTCTCAGGTGAGGCCGCTGACCCTGTCCTCTCTGAGCTCAAACCTCAGCTCAGGCCCTGCCCCCAGGAGAGCTCAGGACGCTAAGGAAAGAGGGGAGTAAAGGGGGAGGGTCGGCAGGGGAGGGCCCAGCCCATGAGAGGGTGGAAATAGTCAGGGACCTCCTAATCCTGGGCTCCCACCCCAGAGACCTCAGATGGGGCTAAAGGCCAGGGAGGGCTGAAATGAGATATGGAGAAACCTTGGAGGAATCATGCTTAGGCTGAGGGTAGAAGATGGAGGCCCCACCCACTCCCCACCTGGGCTCCCCTGGCGGCCCCAAAATACTCAGTGCATACCTGAGACGAAGGGGAGATCATGCACCTGCTCACTGCAGCAATGCAGGCAAATTATTCAACAGCAAACCTCGTGTGCAATTCCTTTCTGTCCTTTATTTTTTATGTCCACATATCTAGTTTCTCTTTCTGTTTCTGAAGATTTCAAAGCAATGCTGGCATTTATAATTTACACATTTAATTTGTTAGGTAGCGTTATGATGTAAAATAACTGTGCTCTGATTTTCTTTGGGATTAAATTAAATATGTGCATTCATGATGGAGAATAACTTCTCATTAATAATGTCTTTGTATCCAATACATTTAAAATTAAACTTTATACAGTTAGCAGATGCTTGAAGTTGTATTCATAAAAATTGTGGACATTGTGAATTTTAAGCATTGTTTTACTACTTGAATAATTTGAAAGTCTTTGATTCCTTTCTATTTTCTAAAATTAGTTACGTATGGATGAGAAAGCTATTGGTTTGGGTATGCTAATTTTAGTTCCTATTAACTTACCACAGACACACTCCCTTTCAATCCTTTCCGAAATGATCTCTTCTGATTTATTGATAATAATTACATTAACCACAAGAAAATGGAGGACAAACTTGTTTGTTTCTAAATTATATAATACTCTTCTCACTTCAAATATATATGTATGTGTTTATATATACTCACACACTATTATATATCTTATAATATATATTATGTATTATATATTTATATATACACTATTATATATCTTATATATTATGTATTATATATTTATATATACCCACACATTATTATATCTTATAATATATATTATGTATTATATATTTATATATACCCACACATTATTATATCTTATAATATATATTATGTATTATATATTTATATATGCACTATTATATATCTTATATATTATGTATTATATATTTATATTACCCACACATTATTATATCTTATAATATATATTATGTATTATATATTTATATATACACACACTATTATATATCTTATTATATATTATGTATTATATATTTATATATACTATTATATATCTTATAATATATAATGTATTATATATTTATATATACACACACTATTATATATCTTATATATTATGTATTATATATTTATATATACATACTATTATATATCTTATAATATATTATGTATTATATATTTATATATATACACTATTATATATCTTATTATATATTATATATTTATATATGCACACACTATTACATATCTTATTATATATTTATATGTATACACACACTATTATATATCTTATTATATATTATGTACTATATATTTATATATACTATTATATATCTTATAATATATAATGTATTATATATTTATATATACACACACTATTATATATCTTATATATTATGTATTATATATTTATATATACATACTATTATATATCTTATAATATATTATGTATTATATATTTATATATATACACTATTATATATCTTATTATATATTATATATTTATATATGCACACACTATTACATATCTTATTATATATTTATATGTATACACACACTATTATATATCTTATTATATATTATGTACTATATATTTATATATACTATTATATATCTTATAATATATAATGTATTATATATTTATATATACACACACTATTATATATCTTATATATTATGTATTATATATTTATATATACATACTATTATATATCTTATAATATATTATGTATTATATATTTATATATACACACTATTATATATCTTATTATATATTATATATTTATATATGCACACACTATTACATATCTTATTATATATTTATATGTATACACACACTATTATATATCTTATATATTATATATTTATATATACTCACACTATATCTTATAATACATATTATGCATACACATATGCATAATACATATTATCTATACACATATGCATAATACATATTATGTATACACATATGCATAACACATATTATGTATACACACATATTTACACCTATGCATATATGTATGTATGTATGCGAATGTACCTCTGCCACGGCAGGGAAAGGTTCTATCACACAACTACAGAGCAGTTAGGAGAAGTGTAGACACAAAGGAATGCAGCAACTGAGGGACATGTTGGCTTAAGTCTCTTCAACTCCTCACACACCTCCCCCTTTTTTGGTTGATTCTCAGGAGCAGCTGAGACCCTCAGCCCATCGCAAAACAAGACAGACTCCAAGACTGGTGTGTAAGGAGATGCTCTCGGTTATGGGGCTGGCACAGAGGGTCAGGTCCTGTGAAGGGGAGGTGGGTGCCCTGGGTGGACATCCAGGGGTCCCGGGTGATGTTGATCTGCCCTGACCTCTGAGACCTCTTGGTCCACCATCCCCAGCCTCACACCCCCAGGATTACACAGTGGAGAATCTCATCCGCGTGGCTGTGGCTGGCTTGGTCCTGGTGGTCCTCGGGATTCTGCTGCTTTAGGACTGGCACAGCTAGAGAAGTCCCCAAGATGCAGCAAGGAGGTAAATACATGAGAGAACAATGCACCCTTCAGAGTGCCAGAGCCTTGGCAATGAATCTGATAGTCCTAGGAGGTTCTGGAAGAAAGTCTGGACCATCATTCGGGAAACCGTCTACTGAGAAAGTCGAGAAGGGGAGGCTTGGGTCAGGTTCAGGAAGATGTCTGGGTGCCTGTAGAGAACGCTTCCTCCATTAAACTTCCATTAAATGGCAGTGCTTTCAGTCCTGCTGTTGTGGATCCTCCGTGTCTGCCCCTCCCTTCCTTTCGCTCTCTGTGATGTGAAGGCACGTCCCCCATGGTGGGTTTGCATCCACACCCCTGCGATCACGTGCTCTGGTCCACTGTCATGTAATACATTTGTCTTTGTTTCCAACTACCGCATTCTCTAAAGTGAACTATTGATTCTCCATCTTTTCAGTTCTGAGCATAGATCTGGATTAAATAACTGGAATAGGTGGGCAGATTTGTATTTGGGACTTTGAAACATGAGTCTGAGGCCAGGCACAGTGGCTCACACCTGTAATCCCAGCACTTTGGGAGGCTGAGGTGGGCGGATCACTTGAGGTCAGAAGTTCGAGACCAACCTGGCCAACATGGTGAAACCCTGTCTCTACTAAAAGATACAAAAATTAGCTGGGTGTGGCAGTGAGCACCTGTAATCCCAGCTGCTCAGGAAGCTGAGGCGGGAGAATAGCTTGAACCCGGGAGGCGGAGGTTGCAGTGAGCCAAGATCTTGCCACTGCACTCCAGCCTGGGCAACAGAGCAAGACTCCATCTCCAAAAAAAAAAAAAAAAAGGGAAATATGAGTCTGAAATGATGCCCTAGCACCCTCTCTGGACCCTGAATTCCCTTCACTCTTCATCGGATGATACCTGTGTACTTTGTCCAGAAATATCATCTCTCAGAATGAGCACACTAACGCTCGAAGGCTCAGCCTCATGGTATTCTGTTAAACTGGCTCTCTGAAAAAATTATTTTCTTAAGAAAACTCTGAACATATAAAGCCCCAGATTTATGGTATTTGCTGATTAGTGTGGTATAAATACGTCCTTTATGGCCAACTTCAGGGTGCCCATATGACGCCATTGAATGCACAGTTGGGAAGTAGTCAAAAGAATTGTCGTTCACACGAGTATGAACCAGTTGTAAAGTTTATTTAAAGGTTATAATAATTTCTGCTTCATTCTTATGGTGTAGTTTCAGTAAAATTGTAATGTCAAAAATCATAGCACAATGGAGGGAAAAGAAAAAAATAGGCCGGGTGTGGTGGCTCATGCCTGTAATCCCAACACTTTGGGAGGCCGAGGCAGGAGGATCACCTGAGGTCAGGAGTTCGAGACCAGCCTGGCCAACATGGTGAAACGCTGTCTCTACTAAAAATACAAAAATTAGCCAGACATGGTGGCGCCTGCCTGTAATCCCAGCTACTTGGGAGGCCAAGGCACGAGAATCGCATGAACCCAGGAGGCGGAGGTTGCAGTGAGCCGAGATCACTACAGCCTGGGTGATAGAGCAAGACTCAGTCTCAAGAAAAGAAAAAAGTAGCAAAATCATTTTTTGGAAAGAATATTGAACATGTAGAATTTTAGTACATTAATAGTAAGAGTACAAATTGCTTTAATCAATTAAGGAAGTGTATTGGAATTATCTAGTTAAAAAGAGGAGGCACATGGCTGTGACCCTTCTTAATTATGTACTTAATTATGTACCCTAGAGATAAATGTCTACTTATGTGTCATGATACACTCACAACTGTTATAGGAATGCTGTTCCTATTAGCCAAAGCTATAAAATACCAAAGTCCACCTACGAAAAAAATAAACATAGTGTGGTAAATAGACTCAGTGGAATATTACAAGGTAGTAAAATGCATAAATGAAAATAACAAACAGCACCATACTTCAATTTTCAAGCATAAAGTCAAGTAAATGAAGTATTATTTGAAAATGTGTGCATGGTTATTTCATTACATAAAGGTCAAAAGGAGGGTACATTTATTATTTAGGAAAACACACCTAAGATATCTTTGTAAAATCTGTAAAATCAATAGTACTGTTTCCCCTCTTTCATTCCTTATCTTGAAAATGCTTGTCTCTTTTTCTGCCATGGCTTTCTACCTTGCTTGATATATTACAATTTTGTAACCTGCTTATTTCATCATATGTCATAAGTTCACATGTATATCCCATGAATTATTGAGGGTCTTATTCATTTCAAGTGGCATTTAGGTTTTTAAAAATATCTTTTGGCGACCAGGTGCAGTGGCTCATGCCTGTAATCCCAGCACTTTGGGAAGCCAAGGCAGGTGGATCACGAGTTCAAGAGACAGAGATCATCCTGGCGAACATGGTGAAACCCCGTCTCTACTAAAAATACAAAAAAAAAAAAAAAAATAGCTGGGCATGGTAGAGGGTGCCTGTAGTCCCAGCTTCTCAGGAGGCTGAGGCGGGAGAATGGCATGAACCCGAGAGACGGAGGTTGCAGTGAGCCGAGATCGTGCCACTGCACTCCAGCCTGGCAACAGAGTGAGACTCTGTCTCAAAAAAAAAAAAAAAAGAAAGAAAGAAAGGAAGAAAAAAAAATCTTCTGGCATTAACTATTAAGAAATTGCACTATAAAAAGAGAATATAATGCATAAGACGGCAATTTGAAAAGATTCAGATATAATTTTTTCTTATCTAGTAAATACTTAGTAATTTGTCTAATGCATGCCTTAAATACATACCACTTTATGCAGAGGTTGCCATGAGCCGAGATCGCGCCGTTGCACTCTAGCCTGGGTGGCAGAGCAAGACTCCATCTCAAAAAAAAAAAAGAAAATCTCACAGAAGGAGACCCAGAGCTTCCAGCCTCGCCCAGAGTCTTGGCTCACTCCCTGTGTGTGTGGACCCTAGGGAGCCTCTTCTGTTCCCCACAGAGGTGGAAACTTCCTCCTTAATAACCCCTTGATGGTCCCAGGCACTGGTGACCACTGAGCTTTGCTCTCTCTTTTTTCTTATGGTTCCCTGTCTACTTCCAGGGCTATCACTTTACTTTTTGTGCATTAGACCATGAATAATGTTTTAGAAACATTCTATCAAATTTCTCAGTGCTAGGAACAACTGAGGTTTTTGATTGGGTGCCTCAAATGTCTACCCTTACTGTGGAGTCCGACAACAGGATTCTAACAAGTCCCAACCCCTTCATGCCTTAACCTGGTCTGGAAATAAATTATGTTTAAGCCATCCCATACCCCAGCCACATCAAGCCCCACAACCACTCTGAGAAGTGAGATTTATAGCAAAATGCTCCAAACAAGGTAACTAAGGTTCAGACAAGGGATGTTAATGTGTCCATTTACATAAACAAAAAATGGTAGATGATCAGCTTTCCCTTTGAAATCAGAGTACTAATCTGACTCATTGTTCCCTGAATTTTAGAGGCAGGACCTCAGGAGGAGCTAAGAATCCTACCCCAGGAAAATTACCAATATCAGAAAGGAAACAATGACATCAGTACAGATCCTACAGAATTCAAAAGATTCTAAGTGGACATTATGAAGACATTATTCAGCTTAGATGAAGTGGTCACATATCACAAGAAAACAAACTGTCTAAAACAATCTCTGAAATACCTAGACATTCCCTGAATCATTGAGTTATTAAATAAAATACATTTTAAAATTAAACTCTTTTCAGGAAATAAACTTCAATGTCCCCTAGTGCACTCTCCAAAACATGTAGATGGGAATAAATACTGTTCTGAAAGACATTTCCCTGGAATTACAACCATTCAATATATTTTAAAAGGCAATCATAAAAATATAAAAAGGATATATCAGGAGAAGAAATGTAAATGGCCTAAATTCCCCACATAAAAGGCATAGAGTGGCAACGTGGATAAAAAGCCAAGAGCCAACTGCCTGCTGTCTTCAAGAGACCCATCTCACATGTAATGACACCCACAGGCTCAAAGTAAAAGGATGAAGAAATATTTACTAGGCAACCAGGAAACAAAAAAAAGGAAGGCATTCCTATTCTTATATCACATGAAACACACTTTAAATCAACAGCAATCAGGAAGGACAAAGAAGGGCATTACAAAATGATAAAGGGTTCAATTTGACAGAAGACTTAACTATTCTAAATATATATGCACCCAAATTTGGAGCACCCCGATTCATAAAACAAGTTATTCTTCACCTATGAAAAGAGTTAGACAGCCACACAATAATAGTAAGGGACTTCAGTATCCCACTAACAACGTCAGATGAATCACTAAAACAGAAAACTAACAAAGAAATTCTGGTCTTAAAGACAACACTTGACCAATTGGACCTCATAGACATCTACAGAGTACTCCACCCAACAACTGCAGAATATAGATTCTTCTTATCTGCACACACAAAAAACATATCATATTCTAAGACTGGCCACAAAGCAAGTCTCAATAAATTCAAAGAATCAAAATCATAACAAGGCACACAATAAAAATAGAAAAAAATACCAAGATGATCTCTCAAAACTACAGAAAAACATGGAAATTTAACAACTTGTTTCTGAATGAATATTAAGAGCCATCTATGACAAATCCACAGCCAACATCATATTGAATGGTCAAAAGCTGGAACTGTACCCCTTGAGAACTCTTGGGTGAACAATGAAATTAAAGCAGAAATCACAAAACATTATTTAAAATTAATAAAAATAGAAACAAACTTACCAAAACCTTTGGGATGCAGTTAAAGCAGTGATAAGAGGAAAATTTATAGCAATACATGCCTCATCAGAAGTTTAGAAAGATCTCAAATTAGTGACTTAACACTGCATCTAGAGGAACTATTAAAAAAAAGGAACAGTCCAAACCCAAGGCCAGCAAAAGATGAGAAATAACTAAAGTCAGAGAGAACTGAATAAATTGAGACCAAAAAGTCCATACAAGAGATAAATAAAACCAAGAGTTTTTCTTTGAAAAAAAATAAACAAAATTCATAGACTGTTAGCTAGATTAACAAAGAAAAAGAGAAAAGATCCAAATAAACACAAATAGAACTGACAAAACAATGTTACGAACAATCCCACAGAAATAGAAAAGATCGTCAAAGACTATTATGAACACCTCTATACAAACAAGCTAGAAAACCTAGAAGAAATGGATAAATTCCTGGTAACACAAAATTTATCATATTTCAACCAGGAAGAAAGTGAAAACCTGAACAGACCAATAACAAGTTCAGAAATTTAATCAGTAATAAAAACCCTACTAACTAAAAATAGCCCAGGACCAGATGGATTCACAGCCAAAATCCAACAGCCATACAAAGAAGAACTGATACCGATCTTACTGAAACTTTTGGAAAAAATCAAGGAGTGGGGGCTTCTTCCTAACTCATTCTATGAAGCCATCATCACCATGATACCAACATCTGTCAGAGACATAATGAAAAAAAGAAAACTACAACTAAATATCCTTAATGAACATAGACATAAAATCCTCAACAAAATGCTAGCAAATTGAATCTGTCAGTGCATCAAAAGTTAATTCACATGATCAAGTAAGCTTTATTTTTGGGATGCAAGGTTGGTTCAACCTACAAAGTCAACGAATGTGATTCACCTCATAAACATAATTAAAAACAAAAACTATATGATCATCTCAATAGATGCAGAAAAAGCTTTCTGTAAAATCCAACATCCCTTCATGATAAAAACTGTCAATAGGCATCAAAGGAACATACCTCAAAATATTAAGAGCCATCTATGACAAACCCACAGCCAACATCATATTGATGGGCAAAAGCTGGAACCATACCCCTTGAGAACCGAAACAAGACCAGGATGACCACTCCCGCCATTTTAATTCAACATGGTACTGGAAGTCCTAGCCAAAGCAATCAGGCAAGAGAAGGAAATAAAAGGCATTAAAATTGGAAAAGAAGTAGTGATACTGTCTCTCTTTGCTGATGAAATAATTTTATACATAGAAAACCCTAAAGACTCTGTCAGAAGGCTCCTGAAACTGATAAACAAATTCAATAAAGTTTCGGGATTAAAAAAATGTACACAAATTAGTAACATTTCTATGCACCACTAACATTCTAGCTGAGAACTAAATCAAGAACACAATTCCATTTACACTAGCCACAAAGAAAATAAAATACCTAGGAATCCATCTAACCAAGAAGGTGAAAATTCTCTACAAGGAGAACTACAAAACACTTCTGAAAGAAATAAGAAATGATACAAACAAATGGAAGAATATTCCATGCTCATGAATTAGGAGAACAAATAGTTAAAATCGCCATACTTCCAAAAACAAATTGCAGACTCAATGCTATCCATTTCAAAATGCAATGTCATTTTTCACGAAATTATAAAAATTTATTCTAAAATGTATTTGGCACCAAAAAAAGAGCCTGAATACACATAGGAATCCTAAGCACAAAGAACAAAGCCCAGGCATCACATTACCCAACTTCAAACTATACTACAATGCTATAGTAACCCAAACAGCATGATACTACTACAAAAACAGACACATAGACCAATGAGACAGAATAGAGAACCCAGAAATGAGGCTACATACCTACAATCATCTTTGAAAAAATTGACAAAAACAAGCAATGTGGAAAGTACCCTTTCTTCAATAAATAGTTCTGGGATAACTGACTACTCATATGCAAAATAATAGAACTGGACCCCTAACTCTCACTATATACAAAAATTAACCCAAGATAGTTTAAAGATTTAAATGTAAAACCTCAAAATATTAAAATTCTAGAAGAAAACCTAGGAAATATCCTTCTCAAGATAGACTTTGGCAAAGAATTTATGGCTAACTCCCCAAAACCAATTGTGACAAAGACAGAAATTGGGACCTAACTCAACTGAAGAGCTTCTGCACAGCAAACGAAAGTATCAACAGAGTAAACAGATAACCTACAGACTGGGAGAAAATATTTGCAAACTATGCATCTGACAAAGTTCTAATATCCAGAATCTATAAGGAATGTAAACAAATCAACAAGCAGAAAACCAAAAAACCTCAATTAAGTATGACATGAACAGACACTTCTCAAAAGAAGATGTACACATGGCCAAAAAACATATGAACAAATGCTTATTATCAGTAATCATCAGAGAAATGCAAATTAAAACCACAGTGAGATACCATCTCACAACAATCAGAGAAGCAGAAGCAATTACTAAAAAGTTTTTTGTTTTTTTTAATAACAGATGCTGACAAGATTGTGGAGAAAAGGGAACACTTATACACTCTTGGTGGGAATGTTAACTAGTTCAGCCAATGTGATAAGCAGTTTGGAGACTTCTCAAATAACTTAAAATAGAACTACTATTCAATCAAGCAATCCCACTACTGGGTATATACCAAAAGGAAGGTAATTAACTATGTCAAAAAGACACATGCACTAGTATATTCATTGCTGTGCAATTCAGAATAGCAAAGATTTGCAGTCAACCTAAGTGCTCACCAACAGTGGATTAGTTAAAGAAAATGTGCTACATATACACATGGAACATTACATGGCCATAAAAAATAATGAAATCATGTCCTTTGCAGCAACATGAATGTAGCAGGAGGTCAATCTCCTAAGTGAACTAACCCAGGAACAGAAAACCAAATACCACATGTTATCACTTATAACTGAGAACCAAACATTGAATACACATGAACATAAAGATGGAAACAACAGATACCGAGGACTACAGATGGGGGGAGGAGTAGGGAGGTATAGGCTGAAGAAACACCTGTTGGATTCTATGCTCATTGCCTGGGTGATGGCATTGTTGGAACCACAAACCTCAGAGTCACACAATATGCCTATGTAACAAACCTGCATGCATACCTTTAATCTACAGTAAAGGTTGAAGTTATTTAAAAATAGGAAGAAGAATTACCCTATACCTAAAGCTAAGATTTTTCCCTTTGAATATTCGTTTCTTCATCACTGTAGATAAGCAGGGAAAGAAAAATTATTATACTATACTAGCCTTTTATGTGACCATGAGGATTTGGGGTAGGTAGGTGGACAGCTTAGATAATTCACCAGGATATTGATACAGGCTCCATGGCTGGAAATAACCAAGGATGAGTGCTGTGTTTTGAGTGGTCTCCCCCAGAAACGTTTGTTGAAATCCTAACCCCTGGTATGTATGAATGTGAATTCATATTATATAAAAAGGAATAAATAGCCTGAGCACAGTGGCTCACACCTGTAATCCCAGCACTTTGGGAGGCCAAAGCAGGTGGATCATTTGAGGTCAGGAGTTCTGGCCAATATGGCAAAACTTCATCTCTACAAAAAAAAAATACAAAAAAAAAAATTGGCTGGGTATGGTGGCGCATGCCTGTAGTCCCAGCTACTCAGGAGGCTGAGGCAGGAATTGCTGAAACCTGGAAGGCAGAGGTTGCAGTGAGCCAAGATCATGCCACTGCACTCCAGCCTGGGTGAGACGGCAAGATATTCTGTCAAAAATAAATAAATAAAAAACAGAAGAAGAAATACAAGAATGACAGCAAACTTTGTATTCAAAACTATGAAAGTAAGAAATAGGTGGACCAACATTTTTAAAGTGCTACAAGAAAATATTTCAAACTAGAATCTTTCAACCTGAAAAGGAAAACATTTTCCTGCAATAAAGGTGCCATTAAAAATGTCTCACAATTTATTACATGAAGCATTGTTCTACAATAAATGTTAAGCTCTTGAAGCAAAGATTAATGATACCATTTAGTAACTTGAAATTCAAAAAAGTGGAAGTATCCCAAGAGGCAAATACGTGTGCAATTATTAAATGTTTCATATCAACACCCAACCTTATGCTGTCTACATAAGCTGCACTTCAAATACTAATCCACAAGATGTAAATATTGAAAGAATGACATTACATTGTCATGATAATGCCCAGTGCAAAATATGCTTCTAGTCAGTTGTATACATAGAATAGGTAAATGTTTGTAATAAAAAGTATTCCTCAATAGAAGTTTCTTAACTCAAAGAATGAAATATTTCACCATGCACATACAAAGAAGAGATATATGGAGATATGAAGAGGAGTACTTCATAATGACAAAGAGGCAAATTCATAAATAAGACATAATAATCCTAAATGCCTACACACCTAAAGCTGGAACCTCAAAACACATTAAATTAAAGGCATAATTCAAAACATAATCAATCACATCCAAATTGCAGCTAGAGATAGCAACATTCACCTCACTTCCAGAACAAGTACACAGAAAATTATTAAGCATATGAAAGACTTGAAAAACATTTGTGTAGGCGGCGGGTGCATAAGGTTGGGTGTTGATATGAAACATTTAATAATTTCAATAATCCTAGCACTTTGGGAGGCCAAAATGGGAGGATCACTTGAGGCCAGGAGTTTGAGACCAGCCTGGGCACCATAGTGAGACCCCGTCTCTATTTTTTTTAAATAAAGAAAAACATTTGAATGATTTTTTTCTTAACTGACATTTAGAAAACATCCACCTCAAATCTTCCTAATCCACAAACTTGTCTAGCACCCCTGGAACATTCACCAAAATAAATTTTTAAATGCTGAATCATAGGTAATATGATAGATGAAACAGTTGAATTAAATTATAAATGTACAACAAGGAAATGCTGGGGAAATTATCAAATATTTTAAAATTAATAAACACACATAGCAATAAACAATGAGTGGAAGAAAAACATTTCAAAGAAAGGTGGAAAATATTTTGTATCAATTAAAAATGAAAACACATCTCGGCAAATGACTGGGGATACAGATAGAACAGTGTTAAAGGAAAATAAGCCTCAAATGTCTGTGTTAGAAAAGAAGGAAGAGCTGAGTAAATAGGTAACTTTCGCTTGCAGAAATACTACACATCAGCAAATTAATTCCAAAGTAACGTCGAGGAAAAACATAAAATGGCAAGCAAATATATACGTGCATATGTACGTATATTCATAAATGACAAACAGGACAGAAAAATCAGTGACATCAATTTTGTTCCTTAGAAGAAACAGGAAAATTGACCCCAAAAAACTTTCCAGGCCACATTTGGTCATGATGGAAATATTTTGGCACTTCCTGGTTAAGCTCAACACCAACTTGCACCCAAAACCAATAATTTCATTCCTAGGTAAATATGTCTAATTAATTCAGCATATGTATGCAAGGGATCACACAGAAACACGATTATCAAGGCCCGAGTTATAAAAGAGAAAATCCGGAAACAACACAAATGTCCATGATAAAAAGAGTGGATAATTACATGTTGATAAAGTTATGTATGGACTATTAAACTGCAATCCAAAAGAATAAAATAGAACTATAAAATTCAATATGTATATGGTGTCATAGAAACACAAATGTGAGAAAAAGAAAGAAAAATACAAAATTTATATTTTTTAAAATTTGAA
Source organism: Homo sapiens (assembly GCF_000001405.40). Classification (NCBI taxonomy): domain Eukaryota; kingdom Metazoa; phylum Chordata; class Mammalia; order Primates; family Hominidae; genus Homo; species Homo sapiens. The sequence goes on from NW_016107300.1 coordinate 25,264, forward strand.
ACAACTATATATGTGAGTGCTTAGGGTGTGTGTGTGTGTGTGTGTGTATAACCATATGTATATAAACGCACACATACGCACACATATAGAATGTCCCGGCCAGGCATGGTGGCTCACACCTGTAATCTCAGCACTTTGGGAGGCTGAAGTAGACAGATCACTTGAGGTTAGGAGTTCAAGACCAGCCTGGCCAACATGGAGAAACCTCCTCTCTACTAAAAGTACAAAAATTAGGTGGGCGTGATGGTGGGTGCCTGTAAATCCAGCTACTTAGGAGGCTGAGGCACGAGAATTGCGTGAACCTGGGAGGTGGAGGCTGCAATGAGCCGAGGTCTCACCACTGCATTCCAAACTGGGTGACGAAGTGAGATTGCGTCTCAAAAAAAAAAAAAGTTCTAAAAGTTGTGACTTGGGTGTGGCAGATTGTGACATACTGCCAGCTGCTAGAAATGCTGGGGCAGGAGGATTGCTTGAACTCTGAAGTCAAAGAACAGCCTGGGGAAAATAGCACATGAAGAAGAGTTTGAATCTCAGATAAAAACAACAAAAATACATCAAAAGTCTTTAATGTAAGCCAAGCATTCAGTCATCTCCTGTATGAGAGATTGGATCTGAGACGTGTTTTGAGTTGGTTATAGTGAAGGATGCAAGGTGTCAATTCTAGTTGGAACAATTTCCAGGAAGCCATGTTCCGCTCTTGACCAAACAGCCACTGGGCCTCATGCAAGGTAGAAATAGCCTGCATACGTCATCCTCCCATGATGTGGTCAGCATGTAAACTGCATGAGCCCCTCACAACATCCTGTGTGCTGCTGAACTGAGCTGGGGCGCAGCCGCCTGTCTGCACCGGCAGCACCATGTCGCTCATGGTCGTCAGCATGGCGTGTGTTGGTGAGTCCTGGAAGGGAATCGAGGGAGGGAGCGCTGGGGTGGAGATCTGGGCCTGGAGTGGAGATCTGGGCCTGGAGTGGAGATATGGGCCTGGAGTGGAGATATAGGCCTGGAGTGGAGATATGGGCCTGGGGTGGAGATATGGGCCTGGAGTGGAGATATGGGCCTGGAACTGTAGATATGGGCCTGAAGTAGAGATATGGGCCTGGAGTAGAGATATGGGCCTGGAACTGTAGATATGGGCCTGGAGTGGAGATATTGGCTTGGAGTGCAGATATGGACCTGGAATTGAGATACGGGCCTGGAGGTGGAGATATGGGCCTAGAGTGGAGATATGGGCCTGGAGGTGGAGATATGGGCCTGGAACTGTAGATATGGGCCTGGAGTAGAGATACGGGCCTGGAGTGGAGATGTTGGCTTGGAGTGCAGATATGGGCCTGGAATGGAGACACGGGCCTGGAGGTGGAGATACAGGCCTGGAGGTGGAGATATGGGCCTGGAGTGTAGATATGGGCCTGGAGTAGAGATATAGGACGGAGGTGGAGATATAGGCCTGGAGTGGAGATATGGGCCTGGAGTAGAGATATAGGACGGAGGTGGAGATATAGGCCTGGAGTGGAGATATGGGCCTAGAGGTGGAGATATGGGCCTGGAGTGGAGATATGGGCCTGGAGGTGATGTACAGATGGATCATCCATCATGATCTTTCTTTCCAGGGTTCTTCTTGCTGGAGGGGCCCTGGCCACATGTGGGTGAGTCCTTCCCCCAAACCTTAGGTTGTCATCTCCCCACATAAGATGATGCTCCTGAAACGGGAGGCAGGCGACACAGGGGGTTGACTGATGGGCTGACCATGGGAAGCCATGTGGGAATCTCTCATGAACTAGGAAAAGGAAGCCAGGGGAAGCTTCGCCACAGTTCTGTCCTAGCCCTCCCCGGCCTTTCTTTCCCTTGGCTGAGTCTGTGGGGACCCAGGGGGAGACTGAAGTGCTCAAAGGAGTGGTGTGCAGGGAGGAAGTGGTGTCACCGGCAGAGGAAGGGAGAGAAGCAGTGCAAGGAACAACAGGCCTCTGAGGACAAGAGCATAACTCACACCCTCCAGCGTTTCCATGACGGTAGGGGCTGCAATGTGGCTGCTGTCATTCTACCTAAGAGGTGGGGGAACCACAGTCATGACCCTGACATTCCAGATCTTCTAATAGGGGCTCAGTTGTTTATTATGGTTCATGCATTAGCTGATCATGCCCTCCATCCTGTGTCTACCTTGTGTTCTTTTATGTAAGTAATTTTGCAGTGTTAAAATCTAGTAAGAGTCGCTTCTTCAGCACCTGCTCAAAGTTCTCAGCTGACACTTGCTGTAGGGAGACGCCATGTCTATGCGGGATGGGTCCTTCCTGTAGCCCTGGGCACCCAGGTGTGGTAGGAGCCTTAGAAACGTGGAAATGGGAGAATCTTCTGAGCACAGGGAGGGAGGGGCGGCTCCACATCCTCCTCTCTAAGGTGGTGCCTCCTTCTCCCCCAGGTGGTCAGGACAAGCCCTTCCTCTCTGCCTGGCCCGGCACTGTGGTGTCTGAAGGACAACATGTGACTCTTCAGTGTCGCTCTCGTCTTGGGTTTAATGAATTCAGTCTGTCCAAAGAAGACGGGATGCCTGTCCCTGAGCTCTACAACAGAATATTCCGGAACAGCTTTCTCATGGGCCCTGTGACCCCAGCACATGCAGGGACCTACAGATGTTGCAGTTCACACCCACACTCCCCCACTGGGTGGTCGGCACCCAGCAACCCTGTGGTGATCATGGTCACAGGTCAGAGGCTTTCTGTCTGGGCTTCTCACTGTCCCACCTCCTGAATCCCAGAGCTTCTGGTGGGGGCGTCCATCAGGGTCCAATCATCCAGGCCCCGACTGTATTTGGGGTAAAGGGGGATTCAGTACAGAGAAATAGTTGCTGTGGTGGGAAGAATAATTGTCCCCAGTGATGGCTACATGGTAATCCATGAACCCTGTGACTATTTATGTTATAGGGCAGGGGACTGAAGAGGAAGATGGAGCTCAGGTTGTTGATGAGTTGACCTTGCGATGGGGAGACAGCCTGGACTGTCCTGCTGTGCTCAGAGTAATCACAAGGGTCCTCATGAGAGGAGGAGGAAGAGGAAAGTGGGGTTAGAGCAACGTCGTGGGAGGGAGACTCCATCAGCCACAGCGGGCTTTGAAGATGGGGGAAGGCCATGAGCCACAAAGGCAGGTGGCCTCTAAGGGCTGGAGAAGTCAAGGGAACTGATTCTTCCCTGAGTCTCCAGAGGAAACACAGCCCTGCAGATGCCTTGATTTTAGCCCAGAGAGAACTGGGTCCGATTTCTGTTCTCCAGAAGTGGAAGGGGTCATTGTATTCTCTCCTGCCCCATGTTTGTGACAATTTTCTCCAGCAGCAACAGGAAACCAACACAGGAACCCAGGTGAAGCACAGGTTAAGAAACCAAACAAGGAGAAGGTTGGCTACACTGATTTTAGCATGGGTGGGATACTGATGCTACCACCAGGCTCGATCCACATAGGGAGGGGTTGATGCTCCTGGAACCAGCACCAGGGGCCACCCTATGGAAGCTGGGGCCATGGAGAAGGCACAGACATGAAAGGAGAGGCTCCCAATCCCCATCAGGAACAGGGACACTGATGCCTGCCTTACTGATGAGTTCGTACCTCCTGCCGGCCTTTCCAATCTGTCCAAAAGAGATTGATTCAGGCTGCTAAGAGCCTGGACATGCAGCCTGTCATGGTTCCTCTTCCACCCCCACATAAACACCAGGAAAGAGATTAGTGGGAAACAGATACAACAGCCTAAGAGGTGACACTGAGCACAGTGGGAAGGGAATCAGGGCTACTAGAGACAGAGAGACAGGGAAGAGGGAGGGAGACAGATGGAGGGACCTGCAACAGGGGTTATGGGCACAAAAGAACACGGAGACACAGACAGGAAGGAGAGAGATAGACACCATGGAGGGGAAGCCTCACTTATTTCAGGTCCCATGAATGGGATGAGAAAGGGAGACGCCTTCTGAACTCACAACCTCTCTTCTTAGGAGTCCACAGAAAACCTTCCCTCCTGGCCCACCCAGGTCCCCTGGTGAAATCAGGAGAGACGGTCATCCTGCAATGTTGGTCAGATGTCAGGTTTGAGCACTTCCTTCTGCACAGAGAGGGGATCACTGAGGACCCCTTGCGCCTCGTTGGACAGCTCCACGATGCGGGTTCCCAGGTCAACTATTCCATGGGTCCCATGACACCTGCCCTTGCAGGGACCTACAGATGCTTTGGTTCTGTCACTCACTTACCCTATGAGTTGTCGGCTCCCAGTGACCCTCTGGACATCGTGGTCGTAGGTGAGAGAATACAGACCTGCCTCTCACCCTTGCTGGGAGATGGAGTGAATGATCTAGGACTGGAAGCCCCAGGTGGTCATGAGGAAGATGAGTGTGGGGTTCCTATGGAGAGAAAGTGACTTGGTGAGGTCTGTACCAACAAAGGCAGAGAAACAGGAGACACAAGTACAGACCTCATGTCATAACATAGAAGCCAGACACAGGGGCCATACAAGGTGTTAGAAAAAGAGATAAAGAGGTAAAGAAGACACAGAGAGACAGACATATCCCAGAGAGAGGTGTCCTTCTATGCTGACTTTGTTCAGAGACCAGGCACAGGTTAGAAGGTTCCATTCTGTTTTACCTCTACAAAGTGTTCTCTCCCAGGAGAACCCAAAGAGACACATCTATCTGGCCTGAGTTGGGCCATGTGGCCCCAGGCTGGTGGCACCTACAGATGTTGTGTTTATTCTTAAACCTCTGCCTTCCGTGCAGTGGAGCTGTCATCGTCCCAGGACACCATGGCCCCAGGTGAGGGAGCAGAACACCAACCCCTGTATGCTGTGAGTTCCTGGAGTCCCCATACTGGATTCTGAGGCTCATATTCAAATAGCACCACATGTTATAGGATTACTGAGAACAAAAGCCCACAGAGAGACACGGAGTGAAATCAGGGAAATCAAAAAGCAAAGACATGAACACACACACAGAATGAGCCAGAAGAAGGGAATTGAGAGACTCACAGACACATAAAGAGATAGAAAAAGAGGGCAGAGAAGTGGAGCGTATGATGGAAGGAAGCAGAGAAAAGCCCTAAAATCAGAGCCCTGAGGGAGGGGCACAAAGACAGGGAAAGATAAAGATGTGAGGATGGATTGCAGAGACTCCAAAAGGGAACTAGAGAGACTGAGAGGCAGAGAAAGACAAGGAGATGGAGAGAGACAGATGATAGATGGACAGATAGATATAGATAGATGAAAGATAAAAGGTAGATGATAGATAATAGAGAGACAGGTGATAGACAAATAGATGATGAATGACTGATAGATGATATAGATAGACAAGTAGAAAGACAGACAGATGATATATAAATAGATATAGAGAGATAGAAAGACAGATAAACACATGATGATAGATGGATAGATGCATACATACATACATTGATTGATAGATGATAGATAACAGAGAGATAGGTCATAGATACACAGATGATGATAGATGATAGATACATACATAGATAAATGATAGATCGATCAATAGATAATAGATAGAAATATGCAGAAAGTTATGAGCAAGACAGAAAGTGAGAGACTCAGAATTAAAGAAAGAGGAAGATCAAGTCAACCAGTCCAAGGAGGGTCAGAGAGAATAAAATGGTACAAAAAAAGAAAACATAGCTAGGGATGGAGAAGTGAGGTCAGAGACCTAGAGAGACAGAGAAGGTGGAAGGAGGAAATAGACATGAAGAGAGATGGGGGTGGAGGGTGAGAGAGAGAAAGAGAGCATTAAGTCATAGAGCAGGGGAGTGAGTTCTCAGCTCAGGTGTGAGGAGAGCTGTGACAAGGAAGAACCTCCCTGAGGAAACCACCTCTTCTTCTTCCAGGTCTATATGGGAAACCTTCTCTCTCAGCCCAGCCGGGCCCCACGGTTCAGGCAGGAGAGAATGTGACCTTGTCCTGCAGCTCCCGGAGCTTGTTTGACATTTACCATCTATCCAGGGAGGCGGAGGCCGGTGAACTTAGGCTCACTGCAGTGCTGAGGGTCAATGGAACATTCCAGGCCAACTTCCCTCTGGGCCCTGTGACCCACGGAGGGAACTACAGATGCTTCGGCTCTTTCCGTGCCCTGCCCCATGCGTGGTCAGACCCGAGTGACCCACTGCCCGTTTCTGTCACAGGTGAGAAAACACCATGCCTGTCCCATGTCTTGTGATCCTAGAGCCATAGCTGAGGAGCTTCCTGCTGATGATGGAGAGAAGCATGGACAGATGCCGAGACAGAACACACAGCATGGGTGTAAGGGCGGGGTCAGGGCGCAGGATGGCAGACAGGGCACCTCCAAACCCTCCTGTATGGCCTGCAAGGATGCCCTTGATCAGGGTTCCAGGCACCCAGGCAGATGGAGAAAGAGGTCAGAACAGACCCAGAGGAGGGAGACTGGGCTCTGCCTGGGGAGATCAGAGGTTCTCTCAGCCCCTCAACCTTACCCACTTCCCAGAAGCCCATCCTGGCCTGTCACCCACAGAGAGATGTCATCACCAGCAACGCCTACACCCTTTTCTTTTTGTTTGAAGAAATATTTATTGAGGTGAAATATACCTATGTAATTTACCACCTTTACCATTTTTAAGTGTGAAGTCTACTGTTCATAAATACATTTATAGGCTGGGCACGGTGGCTCACGGTTGTAATCCCAACACTTTGAGAGGCCAAGGCAGGTGGATCATTTGAGATCAGGGGCTCAAGACCACCCTGGCCAACATGGGGAAAATCCATCTGTACTAAAAATACAAAATAATAATTATAATGATAATAATTAGCCGAGCATGGTGGCACATGCCTGTAGTCCCAGCTACTTGGTAGGGTTGGGCAGGAGTTGCACTTAATTGCAGGAGGCGGAGGTTGCAGTGAGCTGAGATCATGCCACTGCACTGCAGCCTGGGCAACAGAGAGAGACACTCTCTCAAAATTAATTAATTAATTAATTAGTATTCTTTTTTTTTTACCCTCCACCCTTCCCTTCCTGGCCTCTGGTAGCCACCATTCTACTCTCTACCTTTGTGAGATCCACCTTTTAGCTCCTGCATATGAGTGAGAAATGGAAATACTTGTAATGACCTCCAGTTCCATTCATGTGGCTGTAAATGACAGGATGTTACTCTTTCTATGGATGAGTTGTCCCTATTGTGTGTGTGTACCACATTCTCTCCATCCATTCACCCACTGATGGGCAGGTAGGTTGATCCACATCTTGGCTACTGTGAACACTGCTGGAACAGTCATGGGAGTGCAGATGTCACTTCGATACGCTGATGTCCTTTCCTTTGGGTTTACACCCAGTCATGGAATTGCTAGATCCTCTGGAAGTGTCTTTTTACATTTTGTTTTATGGTTTTTGTTTTTGTTTTTGTTTTTTTTAGACTGTTTCACTCTTGTTGCCCAGGCTGGAGTGCAGTGGCGCCATCTGGGCTCACTGCAACCTCCACCTCCAGGATTCAAGAGATTCCCCAGCCTCAGCCTCCCAAGTAGCTGGGTTACTGGCTCCCACCACCACACTCGGCTAATTTTTATATTTTTAGTAGAGACAGAGTTTCGCTATATTGGCCAGGCTGCTCTTCAACTCCTGACCTCAAGTGACCTACCCACCTCGGCCTCCCAATGTGCTGGGATTACAGGCATGAACCACTGTGCCCGACCTCATTTTATTTTTTGAGGAACTTCCATACTCTTCTCCTCTGTAATGGCTGTACTAATTTACATTCGTATCAGCAGTGTACCAGATGCAACCCTGGTTGACTCAGCAGAGCAAGAGACGTGCAGTAAGAGAGAATTTAGCTTATTTATGCACACGACACTTCCACTCACTCACTCGTTCAGCCAATGCCCCATGCTCAGGCTGTGCAGTGTGGAATCTTTTCCTATTGTTGCCATAACAAATTTCCACAAGCTTCGTGGATGAAAACATGTTTTTCTTAATTATCTCACAGTGCTGTAACTCAGAAGTATGAACTGCATTTCACTGGGCTGATATCAAAGGGACAGTAAGGCTGGATTTCTTTTTAAGGTTCCAAGCAAGAATCTGCTCCTTAACGTTTCCCAGCTCCTAGAGGCTCCCACGTTCCTGGGCCCCTGGTCCCCTTCCTCCTTCCTCCTTCCTCAAAGCCCACAAAGGCTGGTCACGTCTCACATGGCATCATTCAGACTCTTCTTCTTTACCCACACCTTTTTCTCTGAATCCTGCTCTGCCTTCTTCCTCATCTTTTAAGGACTTTGGGATTCTATTGGGGTCACCAAGATAATCCATCTCAATCTCCCTAAAATCATCCAGCGTACCCTCTTTTTAAGTTCAGCTGATTAGCAACCGTAATGCCATCTGCAATCTTCATTCCTCCTTTCCTGTAAAATAACATATTCACAAGCTATGGAGGCTAAGACAGGGACATTTTGGGGGTGGGGCAGCATTCTCCTGCCTTCCACAAATGGTAAACAGGATGCATTTGGCCTCTGCTCTTGGGACGCTGATATTGCAGATGGGTAAATGCGAGGGCAGAGAATGAATGCACAAGGGTACCAATAAATGAATGATCCATTGGGAAGCATCTGTGCACCAAATCTGGGGTTTTTTGTGTGTGTGTGTTTTTTTTGTTTTCTTTTTTTTTTTGAGTAGAGTCTCTCTCTGTTCCACAGGCTGGAGTGCAGTAGCACAATCTCAGCTCATTGCAACCTCTGCCTCCTGGGTTCATGCAATTCTCCTGCCTCAGCCTACCGAGTAGCTGGGATTACAGCTGTGCGCCACCACACTCGGCTAATTTTTTTGGTATATTTTTTTAGTAGAAATGAGGTTTCACCATGTTGTGCAGGCTGTCTCAAACTCCCAATCTCAAGTGATCCCACCGCCTTAGCGTCCCTAAGTGCAAAGATTACAGGCGAGAGCTACTGCGCCCAGCCAGGATTTAAAATAAGTAATAGATAATGCTGAGTATATAATTTCAGGTGACAGAGAAGGTCTCACTGATCAGATAATATTTGTGACCTTAATGGAAAAAATGGATTCAACCCTTGGAAGATTGGCGGAAGGATTTTCCACACTGAGCTCTCAGCCGTGAAGGCACAAAGGTGGAAACATTCTTAGTTCAAGGAAGAGGCTCTGCCTCAAATGCTGGGAATGAAGTGGGGAGAATGACAAGACAACTGTAGAGAGATGGAGAGCACACTGGGTACACAGGAAACTAAGGAGGAACAAGGAGCGTGTGTTTGATACTCACAGCCATTGGATTCAACTCAGAGCTAACTAGGAATCCCTACCTGATTAATAGTGACCGACATGAAAATAAGGGAGGCCCAGGTGCGTAACTGGAATCTAGGAGACGGTGGAAAAGGCAATTCCCGCCCCACTGGTGAAACGTAGGGTTGATTTACACACTAAATGAATGAAAGATGGATATAAGCTATGCTTGTGAGGTAGAATCATTTGCAGGGAGGGCTTGCTGGGTTTGATTTTTCCTAGTAGTTTAATCCTTGTTTCATTAATTTCTTTCTGAGATGTGTTTTTTTTCTACATCTAAATCCATACCTGGCAGAGGAGCGATAGACACATGAGGGGTGGTGCAAATGAAGGGACCTAGTATAATATAATATACAAGACTGTGGATGGGGGCTCACACCTGTAACCCAACACTTTGGGAGGCCAAGGCGGGTAGATCACTTAAGGGTAGGAGTTTGAGACCAGCCTGGCCAACATGGTGAAACCCCGTCTGTACTAAAAATACAAAAATTAGCCTGGTGCATTGGCACCTGCCTGTAATCCCAGCGACTGGGGAGGCTGAAGCAGAAGAATGGCTTCAACCCTGGAGGCAGAGGTTGAACTGAGATCGCATCACTGCACTCCAGCCTGACACAGGGGGACTCTGTCTCAAAAAATAAAAATAAAACATACATAATTATAATATGACACACAGAAATTACAAAGGCAACTGGATACCAACCATCATTTTTCTATTTCTCTGTGTTTAATTCTTTGACCCTTTATCTTATCCATTAAACAATCAGGTTAAACCTCTTCCTTATTTGGCTTTCTGTGAGCTTGGGATCATATGGAAAATGTGAAAGCCTCCTGAACCCACCAGCACAGGTCCTGGAATAGAGAACGTGCTCTGTTCATGGCATAAAACTTGCCCCTTCACCCAAATCCCCCAATTCATCTCTACTTCCAATCACCTATGGAGATACAGATAGATCATGGGGAGGTAAACACTAATACTCTTTGGAGTGAGCTCAGATCTTGGACTCAGAGACCAGTGCCAGCACTAGCCCCTGGTCACATTTCGTACTAACTCACAGAAGGACAGGCTGTATTGAAACAATAAACGACGGAGAGGGCGGTCCTTCCCCGTGCTTCTCGGGTGGAATAGCAGCCTAATATATGTCTCAGCAGATCACAAAAAGTAGCATGTTGTTCCTGGGCTACATCATTATTTCATGGCTGTTTGATTTAAGTCAGTTCTACTTCACTTTTTTTATCTTGATTTCATTTTTTCTTTCTTTTCTTGGAGAATGTAATTTTTTTTGAGTCAAGAGGGTTGTGGTGGTAGAAACTGTAAAGCACATTCGCTGTGTATCAATCCCAATCCAGTCTTCCCAGAGAAGATTCTAAACACCTCCTGGAATGCACCTGGGCCTATACCAATTCCTATCACTCACCGTCACTCCAGGGAGACAGAACACACAGAGAACACATTACACAGGCAGGTTCATTACTAACAGATAAGCAGCGAGTGACAACAGAAACCTACATTTCAATGTGAGCCAGTCCCTCAAGGCTCAGAAAAGCTGCTCGAGACATGTGGAGTCACCCCATATGCAGTGTATCTGGGGGAAATCAAAAAGCAGCCCAGCCTGGGTTTTGTACCCTGGAGCCACAGGAAGCACTCAGCTAAAGCACTGCATGACGTCCTCCTCCAGGAAGAACAGGAAGACAGCCCAGGCTGTTCTGGGATGTTCCTCCTGATCTCAGGACGTTGCTGTCTTAGTCCATTTTTGTTGCTCTAAAGGAACACTTGAGCCTGGGTAACTTCTAAAGAAAAGAAATGTGTTTGCCTCACAGTTCTGCAGGCTGTACTGGAAGCATGGCACCAGCATCTATTTCTTGTGACGGCCTCAGGCTGCTCCCACTCTGGCAGAAGGGAAGGAGGGTCTGTCTGTGCAGAGACCACAGAGATCACACGGCAAGAGAGGGACCAAGGGGGAGGGGGAGCGATGGAGCTTCCAAGCTCTTTTAACAACCAGTTCTCCAGGAACTAATAGAGGGGGAACTTGCTAACCCCGTCTCCTTGGAACAGCATTGATCTGTTCATGATGGATCCACCTCCATGACCCAAACAACTCCCAAGAGGCCCAACCTCCCACCCTGGGGGTTACATTTCAATGTGAGGTTTGAAGGGGTCAAACATCTAAACTAAAGCAGTTGTATCCTCAGCACGTTCTATGGTTACTACAACTGAGAAAGCAGGAGGAAGCTAGGTCTCCCGCCATCTGGGTGCTTGTCCTAAAGAGACGTTGTATGTGGTTACCTGTCAATCAAGAAATGTGAGACAATTCATATAGAGGAACTGCTATGATTAGCTTCTTATTGGTGTCTTGTCTTCCTCCAGGTAACTCCAGACACCTGCACGTTCTGATTGGGACCTCAGTGGTCATCATCCCCTTTGCTATCCTCCTCTTCTTTCTCCTTCATCGCTGGTGTGCCAACAAAAAGAGTAAGTCTCACGAAGCAGAAGCCAGAGAGCTCAGGGCCATGTGGGGAAGCAGGATGGGAGCACTCAGGTGTGTGTTCCTCACAGGCAGGATGGTCCCTGGCCCAAGGCAGGAGCCACAGAGGCAGGACTTTCTAGAGAGAGCACCAGACTCCCTGCCTCTGCCTTCAGCTCACAGACCATTGCCTGATTCTGAACCGTATCCTCACATCCCCTGCAGCCACTCACATCCAGGAGAAGGTTCCATGACAGGCAGAAAGTGGGACACAGAATCAATAGGATGGGAACTCAGAGCTATACATGGGATGGATCCTTGAGCTCAGAGAGATAGAATGTCTGAGTCTGCTGTTGGCAACTGAGGGACCTCAGGCACCTATGGCCTCCCCCTGTATGTTGGTATCTGCTTATGAAATGAGGACCCAGAAGTGCCCTCCGAGCTGTTTTGACGACTTCCGTCTTCTACAGATGCTGTTGTAATGGACCAAGAGCCTGCAGGGAACAGAACAGTGAACAGGGAGGTAGGTGCTCCTCCGCCCAGCCTCGTGGCTAGTCTTATTCCCAAAGAGTCCTGGAAAATGTGAGCACCCTCCCTCACTCAGCATTTCCCTCCCTCCAGGACTCTGATGAACAAGACCCTCAGGAGGTGACATACGCACAGTTGAATCACTGCGTTTTCACACAGAGAAAAATCACTCGCCCTTCTCAGAGGCCCAAGACACCCCCAACAGATACCAGCGTGTAACACGGAACTTCCAAATGCTGAGCGCAGATCCAAAGTTGTCTTCTGTCCACTAGCACCACAGTCAGGCCTTGATGGGATCTTCTAGGGAGACAATAGCCCTGTCTCAAAACCGGGTTGCCAGCTCCCATGTACCAGCAGCTGGACTCTGAAGGCGTGAGTCTGCATCTTAGGGCATCGCTCTTCCTCACACCACGAATCTGAACATGCCTCTCTCTTGCTTACAAATGTCTAAGGTCCCCACTGCCTGCTGGAGAGAAAACACACTTGCTTAGCCCACAATTCTCCATTTCACTTGACCCCTGCCCACCTCTCCAACCTAACTGGCTTACTTCCTAGTCTACTTGAGGCTGCGATCACACTGAGGAACTCACAATTCCAAACATATAAGAGGCTCCCTCTTAACACGGCACTTAGATACGTGCTATTCCACCTTTCCTCAGAGTATCTTTCAGCCTTCTGTCAGCAGTAAAACTTATAAATTTTTTTTATAATTTCAATGTAGTTTTCTCTTCTTCAAGTAAACATGTCTGCCCTCATGGTTTCGTCAATGGGACTCTTTTCTTGCCTAAGGCTTCCGGTGTTATCATTACCACGTCCACATAACCCCATCTGTTCTCCGCTGGGTTCTCACCCCTGGACTCTGAGCTTCTGGAAGCAGGGTGGAGCCTGAATTGTCTCTGAGACTCCAATTTCCATCCAAAGATGCAGCACATAGGAGGTTCCAAGGATGGTGAATCAGATGAACAAGTGATATTCTTACTCTCTGCAGATCTGGAAAGCTGGCAGAGTCATTCCACGATGAAACATTTGTAGAGTCATAGGCCTTGTTAGTCTCATCTCCACAGGGACACGTATCAACACATCATCTTTCATACTACTATAAATAGACAGTCACTCCTCCATATCTCTGGGGTTTACACATGTTTATTGAATCAGCAATAAATCAAAAATATTTTGAGAAAAAAAATCCCCGAAGTTTCAAAAAGCAAAAAACTATGTTGAATCGACACAAATTGAGTGGCGTGTAGGCTGTGTCAGGAATTATAAGTAATCAAGAGATGATTTCATGTATACAGGAGGATGTGCATGGGTTCTATGCAATTGCTATGCTATTTTTTTTTTTTTTGAGACAGTCTCACTCTCTCACCCAGGCTGGAGTGCAGTGGCGTGATCTCAACTCACTGCAACCTCCGCCTTCCAGGTTCAAGCGATTCTCTTCCCTCAGCCTCCCCAGTAGCCTCCCCTAGGATTACAGGCACGTGCCACCCTGCACAGATAAATTTTTTTGTGTGTATATTTTTAGTAGAGATGGGGTTTCAGAATGTTGGACCAGCTGGTCTTGAACTCCTGACCTTGTGATCTACCCAGCTCAGCCTCCCAAAGTGCTGGGATTACAGGCGTGAGCCACGGTGCCCAGCTTCACTATGCCATTTCATGCAAGGGGCTTGAGCATCTGCAGATTTTGGTATCTGAATGGGGATCCTGGAACCAATCACCCAGGTATAGTGAAGGACCATGGTATATAATTTTTATTTGTCAATCTTAAAAATAAAGCATAAAAAATTTACAACAACAAGATAAAAAATAAGAAGTGTTTTTATAGTGTGAGGATAAGTTTAGATTTATTTTTTCCTACGTGTAACCCTATGGTCCTGTGTTATTTGTTGAGAAAATATTCTATTCCACCTTAAACTACATGGCAGCCTTTGTCAACTATAAAGGGACTGTGTATCCACAGATGTATTTTAGACACAGTTTTCTGTCCAGTGGTTCTCTGTATCCCCTCTCATGAGGATGCTGCATTTTATATAAACTTATAGAACCCCTTAAAATTTGGTAACCTGAGTCCTCTGATTTGTTATTATAGGTTATTTAGTTTGCTTTTTTTTTTTTTTCTTGAGACAGACTCTTCCTCTGTCACCCAAGCTGGAGTTCAGTGGCTTGAGCTCAGCTCACTGCAACCTCCGTCTCCCAGGTTCAAGCTATTCTGATGCCTCTGGTTTAGTAGTAGAAACTCAAGCAGGAAAATTAGAATGGCTTCTTGTCACAATTACTCTGATAATGTTAATAATACCTGTTAGACATTTTGCACATTACATATGAAGAAGAGTTTGAATCTCAGATAAAAACAAAAATACATCAAAAATCTTTAATGTAAGCACAGAATTCAATCATCTCGTGTATGAGAGGTTGGATCTGAGACGTCTTTTGAGTCTGGTCGTAGTGAAGGACGCAAGGTGTCAATTCTAGTGAGAACAATTTCCAGGAAGCCATGTTCCGCTCTTGAGCGAGCACCCACTGGGCCTCATGCAAGGTAGAAAGAGCCTGCGTACGTCACCCTCCCATGATGTGGTCAACATGTAAACTGCATGGGCAGGGCGCCAAATAACATCCTGTGCGCTGCTGAGCTGAGCTGGGGCGCGGCCGCCTGTCTGCACAGACAGCACCATGTCGCTCATGGTCGTCAGCATGGTGTGTGTTGGTGAGTCCTGGAAGGGCATCGAGGGAGGGAGTGCGGGGATGGAGATCGGGGCCCAGAGTTGGAGATATAGGCCTGGAAGTGGAGTTATGGGCCTAGAGATGGAGTGATGGGCCTAGAAGTGGAGATCTGGGCCTGGAGTGGAGATCTGGGCCTGGAGTGGAGATATGGGCCTGGAGGTTGAGATATGGGCCTGCAGTAGAGATATGGGCTTGTAGTGGAGACATGGGCCTGGAGATGGAGATATGGGCCTGGAGATGGAGATATGGGCCTGCAGTAGAGATAGGGGGCCTGGAGTGGAGATATGGGCCTGGAGTGGAGATATGGGCCTGGAGGTGGAGATATGGGCCTGGAGGTGGAGATATGGGCCTGGAGTGGAGATATGGGTCTGGAGGTGGAGATACGGGCCTGCAGTAGAGATATGGGCCTGGAGTGGAGATATGGGCCAGGAGTGGAGTTATGGGCCTAGAGATGGATATCTGGGCCTGGAGTGGAGATATGGGCCTAGGAAGGAGATATGGGCCTGGGTGTGGAGATATGGGACTGGAGAGGTGATATGGGCCTGGAGTGGAGATATGGGCTTAGGGTGGAGATCTGGGCCTGGGGCGGAGATATGGGACTGGATTGGAGATAGGGGCCTAGGGTGGAGATCTGAGCCTGGATTGGCGATATGGGCCTAGGGTGGAAATATCAGCCTGGAGTGGAGATATGGGCTTGGGGTGGGGATATGGGCCTGGAAACTGGGTCTCTGCACAGCCGACAGCCCTGTTCTTGGGTGCAGGTAGGCACTGAGGGTGAGTTTAACTTCAGCCCAGGAAGGGCCTGGCTGCCAAGACTCACAGCCCAGTGGGGGCAGCAAGGGAGGCCTGGTTTGCCTGCAGATGGATGGTCCATCATGATCTTTCTTTCCAGGGTTCTTCTTGCTGCAGGGGGCCTGGCCACATGAGGGTGAGTCCTTCTCCAAACCTTCGGGTGTCATCTCCCCACATAAGAGGATTTTCCTGAAACAGGAGGGAAGTCCTGTCGGGGAGTCTCTCATAAACTAGGAAGAGAGGACCCTGGGGTGCTCAGCCCACATTTCTGACCTCGCCTCCCTGGCCTCTCAACCCCTTGGCAGAGTCAAGTTCTGTGGGGACCAGGGTTAGACTGGGGTGCTCAAAGCTGGGGTGTGTGGTTGGGAAGTGGTAGGAACAGCAGATCCTCTGAGGACAAAGGTGTTACTCACACACTTCAGCGTTTCCATGATGGTAGGGGCTGCAGTGTGGCTGCTGTCATTCTACCAGAAGAGGTGGGAAACCACAGCCATGGCCCTGACATTCCAAATCCTCTGATGGGGGCTCAGTTGTTTATTTTCGTTCAGGCATCCGCTGATATCCATTCACAAAGGACATGCCCTCCACCTCATGTCTACCCTGTGTTGTTTTATGTGAGTAATCTTACAGTATTAAAATCTAGTAGGAGTCTCTTTACTCAGCACTTGCTCAAAGTTCTCAGCTGAGGCTTTTGTTGTAGGGAGACACCATGTCTTTGCGGGATGGGTCCTTCCTTCAGCCCTGGGCACCAAGGTGTGATAGTAGCCATAGAAACGTGGAAAGCGAGGAGAATCTTCTGAGCACAGGGAGGGGAAGGGCAGTTCCACATCCTCCTCTCTAAGGCGGCGCCTCCTTCTCCCCAAGGTGGTCAGGACAAGCCCTTGCTGTCTGCCTGGCCCAGCCTTGTGGTGCCTCTAGGACATGTCATTCTTCGGCGGTGTCACTCTTATCTTGGGTTTAACAACTTCAGTCTGTAAAAGGAAGGTGGGGTGGCCTGTCCCTGAGCTCTACAACAGAATATTCTGGAACAGCCTTTTCATGGGCCCTGTGACCCCCGCACACACAGGGACATACAGATGTCGGGGTTCACACACACACTCCCCCAGTGGGTGGTCAGCACCCAGCAACCCCCTGGTGATCGTGGTCATAGGTCAGAGGGCTCCTGTCTTGGATTCTCCTTGTCCCACCTCCTGAATCCCAGAGCTTCTGTTGGGCATGTCCTTGAGGGTCCCATCACGCAGGCCCTGACTGTATTTGTGGTAAAGGGGGATTGAATACAGGGAAATGGGTGCTGTGGTGGGAAGAATAATTGTCCCCAGTGATGACTACATTCTAATCCCTGGAGTCTGTGACTATTTATGTTATAGGGGAAGGGACTGAAGGGGAAGATGGAGCTCATGGGGAGACAGCCTGGACTGTCCCACTGGGCTCAGTGTAATCACAAGGGTGCACATGAAAGGAGGAGGAAGAGGGGAGTGGGGATTAGAGCAGTCCAGTGGAAGTCTTCACCAGCTTTGAAGGTGGAGGAAGGCCAAGATCCATGAATGCAGGTGGCCTATAGAGGCTGGAAAAGTCAAGGAACTGATTCTCCAGAGTCTCCAGAGGGAACAAAGCCCTGCAGATGCCTTGATTTTAGCCCAGGAAAAATAGGGTCCAATTTCTGTCTCCAGTACTGGAAGGTGTCAGTGTGGTCTCTCCTGCTGCCATGCTTCTGATAATTTTCTACAGCAGCAACAGGAAACCAACACTGGAACCCAGGTCAAGGACAAGTTAAGAAACAACCCAAGGAAAGCCAGGCATGGTGGCAGGTGCATGTAATCCTAGCGACTCAGGAGGCTGAGGGCAGGAGAATCACTTGAACCCAGGAGACAGAGGTTGCAGTGAGCCTAGACCACACCACTTCACTCCAGCCTGGGTGAAGGAGTGAGACTCTGTCTCCATAATTAATTAATTAATTAAAGAAACCAAACAAGGAGAAGGTTGGCTACCCTGAGATCAGCAAGGGTGGGATGATGATGCCACCACCAGGCTCCATCCACATAGGGAGGGGTTGATACTCCTCCAACCAGCACCAGGAGCCAGCCTATGGAAGCTGGCACCATGGAGAAGGCACAGGCATGGCAAGAGTGGCTCCCAGTCCCCACCAGGAACAGGGTGTGTGGACACTGGTGCCTGCCTTATTCATCAGTTCATACCTTCTGCCAAGGATTGCAATTCATCCAAAAGAGATTGAACCAGGCTGATAAGAGCCTGGATGTGCAGCCTATCCTGGTTCCTCTTTCACCCCCACATAAACAGCAGGAAATACATTAGTGTGAAATAGATACAACACCCCAAGAGATGAGGCTCAGCCCAGTGGGAAGGGAATCAGAGGCTACTAGAGACAGAGGGACAGAGAAGAGGGAGGGAGACAGATGGAAGGACCTGCACCAGGAGTTAAGGGCACAGAAAAGAACATGAAGACACAGAGAGGAAGGAGAGAGACAGACACCAGCAAGGGGAAGCCTCACTCATTCTAGGTGCCATGGATGGGATGATAAAGAGAGACACCTTCTAAACTCACAACCTCTCTTCCTAGGAGTCCACAGAAAACCTTCCCTCCTGGCCCACCCAGGTCCCCTGGTGAAATCAGAAGAGACAGTCATCCTGCAATGTTGGTCAGATGTCAGGTTTCAGCACTTCCTTCTGCACAGAGAAGGGAAGTTTAAGGACACTTTGCACCTCATTGGAGAGCACCATGATGGGGTCTCCAAGGCCAACTTCTCCATCGGTCCCATGATGCAAGACCTTGCAGGGACCTACAGATGCTACGGTTCTGTTACTCACTCCCCCTATCAGTTGTCAGCTCCCAGTGACCCTCTGGACATCGTCATCACAGGTGAGAGTGTCCGGACATTCTCATTGTCATTGGGATGCAGAGTGAATGATCCACGACTTGGAACCCCCAGGTAGTTGTAAGGAAGATGAGCTTGGTATTCTTATGGAGAGAGACTGACTTGCTGAGGTTTGTACCAACAGAGACAGAGAAACAGGAGACACAAGTACAGACCAGGTGTCATAACAGAGGACAGACACAGGGGCCATACAGGGAGTTAGAAAAGACAGAAAGAGTTAAAAGAGACAGACAGACAGACATGTCCCAGAGAGAGGTGTCCCTCCATGCTGACTTTGCTCACAGACCTGGCACAGGTTAGAAGTTTCATTTCTGTTTTACCTCCACAAAGTGTTCTCTACCAGGAGAACCCAAGGACACCCATATTTATGACCTGAGTTGGGCCCTGTGGCCTCAGGCCTTGTGGCACCTACAGGCCATGTTTATTCTGACACCTCTGCCTTCCATGTAATGGAGAGTAATCGTCCCAGGATATCATGGCCCCAGAACACCAACCCCTGTATGCTGTGTGAACTTGTGGTCTCCAGACTGGATTCTGTGGCTCACATTCCAAATAACCCCACATATGAAAGGATCACTGAGAGGCACAGAGAAAAATCAGGAACACCAAAAAGCAAAGACATAAACACACAGAGAATGAGCCAGAGGAAGGAGATTGAGAGACTCACAGACACATAAAGAGAGAGAAAAGAGGGCAGAGGAGTGGTGAGAATGATGGCAGGGAGCAGAGAAAAGCACTAAAATTAGAGTCCTGAGAGAGAGGCACAAGGACATAGAAACATGGAGATGTGGGGATGAATTGCAGAGATTCCAAAGAGAACTAGAGAGACCGAGAGGCAGAGCAAGACAGATGATAGATGGATAGATATAGATAGATGATAAATAGGTAGATGATAGATAATAGGTTAAAGATACATAGATGATGATTGATTGATTCATTAATAGATAATACATAGAGATGATGATGATGAAGACAGATAATACGTACAGATAGAGAGGCAGACAGAAATCATAGAGAGAGAGATGATACATACATATAAATAACAGATGATTGATGGATAGATAGACAAGTGATAGATACATAGATGATATATAGATATAGATGACAGGTAGAGAATTTGTAGATAGGCACCGAATAGATAAATAGATAGATCGACAGATAATAGATAGAAATATGCAGAAAGTTATGAACAGGACACAACGTGAGAAACTTAGAATTTAAAAAAGTAACATCAAGTCAACCAATCCAAGGAGAGTCAGAGAGAATAAAAGAATCCAAAAAGGGAAAACATATCTAGAGGTGGGGAAGCGAGGTCAGAGACCTAGAGAGACAGAGAAGGTGGAAGAAGGAAATAGACATGAAGAGAGATGGGGTGGAGGGTGAGAGAGAGAGAGAGAGAGAGCATTAGGTCATAGAGCAGGGGAGTGAGTTCTCAGCTCAGGTGAAGGGAGCTGTGACAAGGAAGATCCTCCGTAAGGAAAATGCCTCTTCTCCTCCAGGTCTATATGAGAAACCTTCTCTCTCAGCCCAGCCGGGCCCCACGGTTCTGGCAGGAGAGAGCGTGACCTTGTCCTGCAGCTCCCGGAGCTCCTATGACATGTACCATCTATCCAGGGAGGGGGAGGCCCATGAACGTAGGTTCTCTGCAGGGCCCAAGGTCAACGGAACATTCCAGGCCGACTTTCCTCTGGGCCCTGCCACCCACGGAGGAACCTACAGATGCTTCGGCTCTTTCCGTGACTCTCCATACGAGTGGTCAAACTCGAGTGACCCACTGCTTGTTTCTGTCACAGGTGAGGAAACCCCATATCTGTCTCATGTCCTATGATCCTAGAGCCTTAGCTGAGGAGCTTCCTGCTGATGATGGAGAGAAGCATGGACAGATGCAGAGAGAAGACGAAGCTTGGGTGTGAGGGAGGGATCAGGGCACAGGATGGCAGACAGGGCACCTCCAAACCCTCCTACACGGCCTGCATGAAGGCCCGCGGCCAGGGCTCCAGGCACACAGGCAGATGGAGAAAACGGTCAGGAGAGACCCAGAGGAGAGAGACTGGGCTCAGTTTGGGAAGATCAGAGGTTCCCTCAGCCCCTCAACATTACCCATTTCCCAGAAGCCCATCCTGGCCTCTCACCCACACAGGGATGTCATCACCAGCAACCCCTACACCCTTTACTTTTGTTTGAAGAAATATTTATTGAGGATAAATATACCTATATAGCTTACCACCTTTAACATTTTTTTTTTTTTTGAGGCAGAGTCTAGCTCTGTCCCCTATGCTGGAGTGCAGTGGCACAATCTCAGCTCACTGCAACTTCCGCCTCCTGGGTTCAAGTGATTCTCCTGCTTCAGCCACCTGAGTAGCTGGTGCTACAGGCGCGCACCACCACGCCAGGCTACTTTTTGTATTTTTAGTAGAGAGGGGGTTTCACCATGTTGGTCGAGCTGGTCTCCAACTCCTGACCACGTGATCCACCCGCATCTGCCTCCCAAAGTGCTGGGATTACAGGCATGAGCCACCACGCCCAGCCACATTTACCATTTTTAAGTGTAAAGTCTAGTGGTCATAAATACATTTATATATATATATATATATATATATATACACACACACACACATATATAAACATATATATATATATATATATATATATATATATATATTTTTTTTTTTTTTTTTTTTTTTACCCTCCACCCTTTTATTCCTGGCCTCTGGAAGCCACCATTCTACTCTCTACCTTCATGAGATCCACCTTTTAGCTCTGTATATGGGTGAGAAATGGGAATCTTTGTAATGACTTCCAGTTCCATCCATGTGGCTGCAAATATCAGGATGTTATTCTTTCTATGGATGAGTAGTCTCCACTGTGCGTATGTACTACATTCTCTCTATCCATTCATCCACTGATGGGCAGGTAGGTTGACTCCACATCTTGGCTACTGTGAACAGTGCTGCACCAATCATACGAGTGCAGATATCACTTCGATATATTGATTTACTTTCCTTTGGATATAAACCCAGTAGTGAAATTGCTGGATACTATGAAAGTTCTCTTTTTAGTTATTCGTTTGTTGTTTTGTTTTTGTTTTTGAGACAGTTTCCCTCTGTGCCCAGGCTGGAGTACAAGTGAAGTCATCTTGGCTCATTGCAACCTCCGCCTCCTGGGTTCAAATGATTTTCCTGCCTCAGCCTCCCTAGTAGCTGGGATTACAGGTGCACGCCACCATGCCTGGCTACTTTTTGTTTTTTTTAGTATAGATGGGGTTTCCCCATGTTGGCTGGGCTGCTCTCAAACTCATGACCTCAACTGAGGTGCCCGCCTCGGTCTCCCAAAGTGCCGGGATTACAGGCATGATCCACCTCACCCAACCTCTTTTTAGTTCTTTAAAGGACTTCCACACTTTTCTCCGTAAAGGCTGTACTAATTTACACTCCTACCAACAGGGTATTAGGGTTCTCCTTTCTCTACCACTTTGGCAGGATTTCCTTTGCCTGTCTTGCAGCTAAAAGCCATTTTATTTTATTTCATTTTATTTTGAGATGGAGTTTCGCTCTTGTCACCCAGGCTGGAGTGCAGTGGTGCGATCTCGGCTCACCACAACCTCCACCTCCCAGGTTCAAGCGATTCTCCTGCCTCAGCCTCCCGAGTAGCTGGAATTACAGGCACACGCCACCACGCCCAACTAAATTTTGTATTTTTAGTAGAGACAGTGTTTCTTCATGTGGGTCAGACTGGTCTCAAACTCCCGACCTTATGAGGTTCACCCACCTCAGGCTCTCAAAGGTCTAGGATGACAGACGTGAGCCACCACGCCCGGCCTAAAATCCATTTTAATGGGGTGAGATGAAAACTCACTTTGATTTTAATTTGTGTTTCTCTGATGATGAGTGAAACTGAGCACTTTTTAGTATGTGGGGAAATTTCATGTGTTTTGCTCCTTTTTCAATTAAATCGTTTGTTTTATTGAGTTGTTTGAGCTTCTTATATTTCTAGTTATTAATCCCATCTCAGATGCATAGTTTGCACATATTTGCTCCCAATCTGTGGGTTGTCTCTTCACTTTGTTGGTTTATTTTTAGCGGTGCAGAAGTTGCTTAGTTTGAGGTAATCCCAATGGTCTATTTTTGCTTCGATTACTTGTGTTTTGAAGGTTTAAAACAAAATGTCTTCCTTCAGACAAATGTCCTGGAGCATTTCCCCAATATTTTCTTCTACGTGTTTCATAGGTTCAGGCCTTAGACTCACATCTTTAATCCATTTTCATTTGAGTTTTGTGTATAGTGACAGGTAGAGGTGCAGTTTCATTCCTCTGCATGTAGATGTCCAGGTTTCCCTGCACTGTTTATTGAAAAGACTGTCCTTTCCTGATTGTGAGTTCTTGGCACCTTTGTCAAAGTCCATTGGATGGGCTGGGCATGGTGGCTGACACCTGCAATTTCAGCACTTTGGGAGCCCAAGGCGGGTGGATCACCTGAGGCCAGGAGTTCAAGATTAGTCTGGCCGACGTGATGAAACATTGTCTCCACTAAAAATATAAAAATTAGCTGAGCATGGTGGTCAGCACCTGTAATACCACTACTCAGGAGTTTGAGGCCAGAGAATTGATTGAACCCAGGAGGCTGTGGTGGCAGTGAACCGAGATTGCACCTCTGCACTCCAGCCTGGGTGACAGAGCGAGACTCCATCTCAAAAGAAAAAAGAAAAAAACATTGGAGGTAAATGCATGGATTATATCTGTGTTCTTCATTCTGCTCCATTGTTCTACGTGCCTTTCTTTATGCCAATGTGATGCTGTTTTGCTTACTACAGCTCTGTAACATATTTTGAGATCAGGTAGTGTGATGCTCCTGTTTTCTCTTTATACCTTGAAGTCTCAAGACAGTGGGCGTCACATACAAAAATTACGGAAAAAAGGATCCCAGGACTCCCAGGGCCCAATATTAGATAACAGAGTGTTGGCCATGAACCAACCTCAAAGATTTCCATTGAGTAGAGGACAGACACCCTCATTTCCTCACCTCTCTCCTGTCTCGTGTTCTAGGAAACCCTTCAAATAGTTGGCCTTCACCCACTGAACCAAGCTCCGAAACCGGTGAGTACAGAACCCTCTTATATCCGCTTTTGGAAACCTGGGGAGGTAGAAACCTTCGATGCAGGCATTGACTCAGCATCTCGCAGCTCTGACATTGTACGCCTGTCTTCTACCATCTCCGAACTCCAGATACTCCAACAGCGAAAGGGATCTGGGCCCAACCTAGGGCTCAGTGAAATCTCTTAATCTCTCATTTTATGGAGCTGAGACCTCCTACAAGCTAGAAGAATGATTGCCAATCTGACATCCTTCTCAGGAAAAATGCAATGTTTGTTCTGCCTGCATTCCTAACTGGAGGATAAATTCCTGGGGGCTTGAGAGAGGGAAGGGAAGGGAACATCTGATGAGGGCGAGGTGTTTTAGAGAAGTTCCACTTGCCAAGGAATGAATTACTGTTGGTCATGAAGCAACCCTGGCTGACTCAGCAGAGCAACAGCCTTGCCGTAACAGAGAACGGAGCTCATGCACGCACACTTCGACTCACTGACTCATTCAGCCACGGCCCCATGCTCAGGCTGTGCAGTGCGGAACCTTTTCCTATTGTTGCCATAACAAATTTCCACAAGATTCGTGGGTGAAAACAAAACGGTTTTTTAATTATCTTACAGTGCTGTAGCTCAAAGTAGGAAGTGCATCTTACTGGGCTAAAATCAAGGTGACAGCAAGGCTGCCTTCCCTCTGAGGATTCCAGGCAAGAATCTGCTTCTCACTTATCCCAGCTTCTAAAGGCTCCCAGTTCCTTGGCTCCTGTTCCCCTTCCTCCTTCCTCAAAGCCCACAAAGACTGGTCACATCTCACATGGCATCACTCAGTGCCTTCTTCCTTACCACACCTCTTTCTCTGAATGCTGCTCTCCCTTCTTCCTTATCTTTTGAAAACTTGGGGATTCTATTGGGTTCACCAAGATGAAAATCCCTCATAATCTCCTGGAAATCATCCAGGATACCCTTGTTTTAAGTTCAGCTGATTAGCAACCGCAATTCCATCTACAATCTTCATTCCTCCTTTCCATGTAAAATAACATATTCACAAGCTATGGAGGCTAGGACAGGGACATTTTGGGGTGGGACAGCATTCTCCTGCCTTCCACAAACGGTGAACAAGATGCATTTGGCTTCTGCCCTTGGGACACTGATATTGCAGATGGTTAAATGGGAGGGCAGAAAATGAATGCACAAGTGGATCTATAAATGAATGATCCATTGGGAAGCATCTGTGCATGAAATCTATTTTTTGTTTGTTCTTTTGTTTATTGAGACAGAGTCGCCCTCTGTCTTCCAGGCTACAGTGCAGTGTCACGATCTTGGCTCACTGCAACCTGCGTCTCCTGGATTCAAGTGATTCTCCTGCCTCCGCCTCTCGAGTAGCTGGGATTACAGGCAACTGCCACCGTGCCCGGCTAATTCTTTTTGTATATTTTTTGTAGAGAGGATGTTTCACCACGTTGGCCAAGCTTGTCTGAAACTCCCAACCTCAAGTGATCCGACCGTCTCAGCATGCCAAAGTAATGGGACTACAGGCGTGAGCCACTGTGCCCAGCCAGAATTCAAAATCAATAATAGATAATGCTGAGTGTATGATTTCAGGTGACAAAGAAGGTCTCACTATTCAGATATTTGTGACATTAATGAAAAACACGGATTGAACCCCTGAAAGATTGGCGGAAGGATTTTGCACACACAGCTGTCAGCCGTGAAGGCACAAAGGTGAAAACAATCTGATGTGGAAGGAAGAGGCTCTGCCTCAAATGCTGGGAATGATGTGGGGAGAATGACAAGACGACTGTAGAGAGACGGAGAGCACACTGGGTACACAGGAAACTAAGGAGCAACAAGGAGTGTGTGTTTGACACTCACAGCCATTGGATTCACCTCGGGGTAACCAGGAATCCCTACATGATTAATATGACTGACATGAAAATAAGGGAGGCTCAGTTGCATAACTGGAATCTAGGAGACCGTGGAAAAGGCAATTGCCACCCCACTGGTGAAATGTGGTGCTGATTTAGACACTAAATGAATGAAGTAGATGGATATAAGATATGTTTGTGAGGTAGAATCATTGACTGGAAACGCTTACTGGGTTTGATTTTCCTACTTGTTTAATCCTCGCTTAATTAATTTCTTTCTGAGATTTATTCATCCTACACATAAATCAATACCTGGCAAAGGAGTGACAGATATATGAGTGGTGGTGGAAATGAAGAGAC
This sequence comes from Homo sapiens, assembly GCF_000001405.40. NCBI lineage: Eukaryota > Metazoa > Chordata > Mammalia > Primates > Hominidae > Homo > Homo sapiens. The sequence continues at coordinate 51,213 of NW_016107300.1, forward strand.
TTATTATAGCATAATATACAAGTCTGTGAACAGTGGCTCACGCCTGTAACCTAGCACTGCAGGAGGCCAAGGTGGGTGGATTCCATGAAGTCAGGAGTTCCAGACCAGCCTGGCCAACGTGGTGAAACCCTATCTCTACTAAAAATACAAAAATTAGCCGAGCACGATGGTGCATCCCTGTAATCCCAGCTCCTATTCTGGAGGATGAAGCAGGAGAATGACTTCAACCCAGTAGGTGGAGGTTGCAGTGAGTGGAGATTGCATCACTGCACTCCAGCCTGGGGGACACAAGGAGACTCTATCTCAAAAAATAAAAATAAGAAATACATAAATATAATAAAACACACACGAATGACAAAGGCACCTGAATTCCAATCATCGTTTTTCTATTTCTCTATAATTACTTCTTTGATCCTTTATCTTATCCATTAGGCAATGAGCTTAAAACCTCTTCCCTATTTGGCTTTCTGTGAGAATGAGATCACATAGAAAATGTGAAAGCCCTCAGAATCCTCCAGCACAGATCGTGGAATAGAGAAAGTGCTCTGTTCATCGCAACAAAAAACTTGCCCACTCACCCAAATCCCCCACCTCACCCCTACTTCCAATCACCTGTGGAGATTCAGATAGGCTATGGGGAGGTAAACATTGATACTCCTTGGAGTGAGTCCAGATCTTGGAATCAGAGATCAGTGCCAGCACTAGCTCCTGCTCCCCTTTCCTACTAATTCACAGGAGGACAGGTGGTATTGAAGCAATAGATGGCCGAGGGGGTGGTCCTTCCCCCAGCCTCTCGGGTAGAACAGCAGCCTAACATGTGTCTCCCGAGATCACAAAGAGTAGCACGTTTCACACGGGCTTCAACACTATTTCCTGGCCATTTGACATAAGAGAATTCTACTTAGCTTTTTTTATCTTGATTTCACTTTTGTTTCCTTTTCTTGGAGAATGCAAGTTGTTTGATTCAAGAATGCTGTGGATGTAGAAATCCTAAAGCACATTCGCTGTGTATCAATCCCAGTGCAGTCTTCCCAGAGAAGACTCTAAATACCTCCTGGACTGCACCTGGGCTTATGCCAATTCCTATCACTCACCGTCACTCCAGGGAGACAGAACACACAGAGAATACATTACACAGGCAGGTTCATTACTAACAGATAAGCAGCGAGTGACAACAGAAACCTACATTTCAATGTGAGCCAGTCCCTCAAGGCTCAGAAAAGCTACTCGGGACATATGGAGTCACCCCATTTGCAGTGTAGCTGGGGGAAGCCAGAGAGCAGCCCAGCCTGGGTTTTGTACTGTGGAGCCACAGGAAGCACTCAGCTAAAGCACTGCATGACGTCCTCCTCCAGGAAGAACAGGAAGACAGCCCAGGCTGTTCTGAGACGTTCCTCCTGATCTCAGGACGTTGCTGTCTTAGTCCATTTTTGTTGCTCTAAAGGAACACTTGAGCCTGGGTAACTTCTAGAGAAAAGAGATTGGTTTGCCTCACAGTTCTGCAGGCTGTACTGGAAGCGTGGCACCAGCATCTATTTCTCGTGACGGCCTCAGGCTGCTCCCACTCTGGCAGAAGGGAAGGAGGGTCTGTCTGTGCAGAGACCACAGAGATCACACGGCAAGAGAGGGAGCAAGGGGGAGGGGGAGCGATGGAGCTTCCAAGCTCTTTTGAACAACCAGCTCTCCAGGAACTAATAGAAGGGGAACTTGCTAACCCCGTCTCCTTGGGACAGCATTGGTCTGTTCATGATGGATCCACCTCCATGACCCAAACACCTCTCAAGAGGCCCAACCTCCCACAGTGGGGGTGAAATTTCAATGTGAGGTTTGAAGGGGTCAAACATCTCAACTAAAGTAGTTGTATCCTCAACACGTTCTATGGTTACTATGAGAGCTATAACTGAGAAAGCAGGAGAAAGCTGGGTCTCCCTCCATCTGGGTGCTTGTCCTAAAGGGGTGTTGTATGTGGTTACCTGTCAATCAAGAAATGTGAGACAATTCATAAAGAGGAACTGCTATGATTAGCTTCTTATTGGTGTCTCCTCTTCTTCCAGGTAACCCCAGACACCTGCATGTTCTGATTGGGACCTCAGTGGTCATCATCCTCTTCATCCTCCTCCTCTTCTTTCTCCTTCATCGCTGGTGCTGCAACAAAAAAAGTAAGTCTCACGAAGCAGAGGCCAGAGAGCTCAGGGCCATGTGGGGAAGCAGGATGGGAGCACTCAGGTGTGTGTTCCTCACAGACAGGATGGTCCCTGGCCCAAGGCAGCAGCCACAGAGGGAGGACTTTCTAGAGAGAGCACCAGACTCCCTGTCCCTGCCTTCAGCTCACAGACCATTGCCTGATTCTGAACTGTATCCTCATGTCCCCTGCAGCCACTCACATCCAGGAGAAGGTTCCATGACAGGCAGAAAGTGGGAGACAGAATCAATGGGATGGGAACTCAGAGCTATTCATGGGATGGGTCCTTGAGCTCAGAGAGATAGAATGTCTGAGTCTGCTGTTGGCAACTGAGGGACCTCAGGCTCCTATGGTCTCCCCCTGTATGTTGGTATCTGCTTATGAAATGAGGGCCCAGAAGTGCCCTCTGAGCTGTTTTGTTGACTTCCGTCTTCTACAGATGCTGTTGTAATGGACCAAGAGCCTGCAGGGAACAGAACAGTGAACAGGGAGGTAGGTGCTCCTCGGCCCAGCCTCGTGGCTAGTGTTATTCCCAAAGAGTCCTGGAAAATGTGAGCACCCTCCCTCACTCAGCATTTCCCTCTCTCCAGGACTCTGATGAACAAGACCCTCAGGAGGTGACATATGCACAGTTGAATCACTGCGTTTTCACACAGAGAAAAATCACTCGCCCTTCTCAGAGGCCCAAGACACCCCCAACAGATATCATCGTGTACACGGAACTTCCAAATGCTGAGCCCTGATCCAAAGTTGTCTCCTGCCCATGAGCACCACAGTCAGGCCTTGAGGGGATCTTCTAGGGAGACAACAGCCCTGTCTCAAAACTGGGTTGCCAGCTCCAATGTACCAGCAGCTGGAATCTGAAGGCGTGAGTCTGCATCTTAGGGCATCGCTCTTCCTCACACCACAAATCTGAACGTGCCTCTCCCTTGCTTACAAATGTCTAAGGTCCCCACTGCCTGCTGGAGAGAAAACACACTCCTTTGCTTAGCCCACAATTCTCCATTTCACTTGACCCCTGCCCACCTCTCCAACCTAACTGGCTTACTTCCTAGTCTACTTGAGGCTGCAATCACACTGAGGAACTCACAATTCCAAACATACAAGAGGCTCCCTCTTAACACGGCACTTAGACACGTGCTGTTCCACCTTCCCTCATGCTGTTCCACCTCCCCTCAGACTAGCTTTCAGCCTTCTGTCAGCAGTAAAACTTATATATTTTTTAAAATAATTTCAATGTAGTTTTCCCTCCTTCAAATAAACATGTCTGCCCTCATGGTTTAGGTAATGGGACTCTTTTCTTGCCTAAGGCTTCCGGTGTTATCAGTACCATGTCCATATAATCCCATCTGTTCTCCACCGGGTTCTCACCTCTGGACTCTGAGCTTCTGGAAGCAGTGTGGAGCCTCATTTGTCTCTGGGACTCCAATTTCCATCCAAAGATGCAGCACATAGGAGGTTCCAAGGATCGGGAATCACATGAACAAGTGACATTGTTACTCTCTGCAGACCTGGAAAGCTGGCAGAGTCATTCCACGATGAAACATTTGTAGAGTCATAGGCCTTGTTAGTCTCATCTCCATGGGGACACATATCAACACATCATCTTTCATACTATAAATATACGGTCACTCCTCCGTATCTGTGGGGTTTACAGGTCTTTATTGAACAAAGTATAAATCAAAAATATTCAGAGAAAATATCCACAGAGTTCCAAAACTCATAACTATGTTGAATGGACACAAATGAAGCTGTGTGTAGGCTGTATCAGGAATTATAAGTAATCAAGAGATGATTTCATGTATACAGGAGGATGTGCATATGTTATTTGCAAGCGCTGTGCCATTTCATATAAGAGGCTTGAGCATCTACAGATTTTGGTATCTGAGTGGAGATCTCGAAACCAATCACCCACGAATAGTGAAGGATGACCGTATATGACTTTTATTTCTCAAATTTAAATATAAATCAAAAAATGTACAACTAGATAAAAACTAAGAAGTGTTTTTATAGTGTGAGTTAGATTTATTTTTTACTAGGTGTAACCCATTGGTTTAATATTATTTATTGAGAAGACATTCTATGCCACCTTAAACCACACGGCAGCCTTTGTCAACTCTAAAGGGACTGTGTGTACATGGATGTATTTTAGACAGTTTCTGCTAAGGGGCTGTCTGTGTCCACACACTTGATGATGCTACACTTTATGTAGCCTTATAGAACCCTTTAAATTTAGTAGCCAGAGCCCTCTAATTTGTTATTATAGGCTATTTGCTTTTTTTTTTCTTGAGGCGGAGTCTTGCTCTGTCGCCCAGGCTGGACTGCAGTGACACAATCTCAGCTCACTGCAACCTCCGCCTCCCAGGTTCAAGCGATTCTCGTGCCTCAGCCTCTTGAGTAGCTGGCGTTACAGGTGCCTGCCACCAGGCATGGCTAATTTTTGGATTTTTAGCAGAGACACGGTTTCACTATGTTGGCCAGGCTGCTCTCAATCCCCTCATCTCAGTTGATCCGCCCACCTCGGCTTCCCGACGTGCTGGGGAAACTTGATTTTCTATAGCATTATGTTACTGGATATTTCTGTAAAATTTAAAATGAGGGAGGCAGAGAGACAGAGAGAGATCAAACTCCAGAGTTGGGACTCTGGAATCTTGGGTCATGAGACAAATTTTAGATTAAACTACAAAACTCCAGAATTTACAGGTGTGGTTTTTGCTGATAAAGTACAATTCTAAGATTGTAAATAATTGCATAATCCTTCCCTGGGAATTTAAATCATTTTAACTGGTTCTGCTGCAATACTAGAAATACAAGCATGAAAAATTCTAATGGTTTATTAGTCACAATGACTCTGAAAACCTTAATAATACCTATTAAATATTTTGCATATTACACATGAAGAAGAGTTTGAATCTCAGATAAAAACAATAAAAATACATGAAAAGTCTTTCACGTTAGCACAGATTTTAGGCATCTCGTGTTCAGGAGGTTGGATCTGAGACGTGTTTTGAGTTGGTCATAGTGAAGGACGCTAGGTGTAAATTCTAGTGAGAACAATTTCCAGGAAGCCGTGTTCCGCTCTTGAGCGAGCACCCACTGGGCCTCATGCAAGGTAGAATAAGCCTGCGTACGTCACCCTCCCATGATGTGGTCAACATGTAAACTGCATGGGCAGGGCGCCAAATAACATCCTGTGCGCTGCTGAGCTGAGCTGGGGCACGGCCGCCTGTCTGCACCGGCAGCACCATGTCGCTCACGGTCGTCAGCATGGCGTGTGTTGGTGAGTCCTGGAAGGGAATAGAGGAAGGGAGTGTGGGGTTGGAGATCTGGGCCCAGAGGTGGAGATATAGGCCTGGAGGTGGAGTTGTGGGCCTGGAGTGGAGATCTGGGCCTGGAGTGGATATATGGGCCTAGAGATGGAGTGATGGGCCTAGAAGTGGAGATCTGGGCCTGGAGTGCCGATAGGAACCTGGAGGGGAGATAGGAGCCTGGAGTGGAGATATGGGCCTGGAGGTGGAGTTATAGGCCTATAGTAGAGATATGGGCCTGGAGTGGAGATTTGGGCCAGGAGTGGAGATATGGGCCTAGAGGTGGATATCTGGGCCTAGAGTGGAAATATGGGCCTAGGATGGAGATATGGGCCTGGTTGTGGAGATATGGGACTGGAGAGGAGATATGGGCCTAGAGTGGAGATATGGGCTTGGGGTGGAGATCTGGGCCTGGGGTGGAGATATGGGCCTGGAGGTGGAGTTACGGGCCTTCAGTAGAGATATGGGCCTGGGGTGGAGATATGGGCTTGGGGTGGAGATCTGGGCCTGGAGTGGAGATATGGGCCTGGAGGTGGAGTTACTGGCCTTCAGTAGAGATATGGGCCTGGTGTGGAGATATGGGCCTGGATTGGAGATATGGGCCTAGGTTGGAGATCTGAGCCTGGAGTGGAGATATGGGCCTGGATTGGAGATATGGGCTTACAGTGGAGATCTTGGCCTGGATTGGCGATATGGGCCTGGATTGGCGATATGGGCCTATGATGGAAATATCGGCCTGGAGTGGAGATATGGGCCTGGAGTGGAGATACAGGCCTAGGGTGGAAATATTGGCCTGGAGTGGAGATATGGGCTTGTGGTGGGGATATGGGCTTGTGGTGGGGATCTGGGCTTGGAGGCTGGGTCTCTGCACAGCCGACAGCCCTGTTCTTGGGTGCAGGTAGGCACTGAGGGTGAGTTTAACTTCAGTCCAGGAAGGGCCTGCCTACCAAGACTCACAGCCCAGTGAGGGCAGCAAGGGAGGGCTGGTTTGCCTGCAGATGGATCGTCCATCATGATCTTTCTTTCCAGGGTTCTTCTTGCTGCAGGGGGCCTGGCCACATGAGGGTGAGTCCTTCTCCAAACCTTAGGGTGTCATCTCCCCACATAAGAGGATTTTCCTGAAACAGGAGGGAAGTCCTGTCAGGGAGCCTCTCATAAACTAGGAAGAGGGGACCCTGGGGTGCTCGGCCCACAGTTCCGACCTCGCCTCCCTGGCCTTTCATTCCCTTGGCAGAGTCAAGTTCTGTGGGGACCAGGGTTAGACTGGGGTGCTCAAAGCTGGGGTGCGTGGTGGGGAAGTGGTAGGAACAGCAGATCCTCTGAGGACAAAGGTGTTACTCACACTTCAGCGTTTCCATGACGGTAGGGGCTGCAGTGTGGCTGCTGTCACTCCACCAGAAGAGGTGGGAAACCACAGCCATGGCCCTGACATTCCAAATCCTCTGATGGGGGCTCAGTTGCTTATTTTCATTCAGGCATCTGCTGATATTCCATTCTCAAAGACATGCCCTCCACCCCATGTCTACCCTGTGTTGTTTTATGTGAGTAATCTTACAGTATTAAAATCTAGTAGGAGTCTCTTACTCAGCACTTGCTCAAAGTTCTCAGCTGACACTTTTGTTGTAGGGAGACACCTTGTGTTTGCGGGATGGGTCCTTCCTTTAGCCCTGGGCACCAAGGTGTGATAGCAGCCATAGAAACTTGGAAAGCGAGGAGAATCTTCAGAGCACAGGGAGGGAGGGGTGGCTCCACATCCTCCTCTCTAAGGCGGTGCCTCCTTCTCCCCAAGGTGGTCAGGACAAGCCCTTGCTGTCTGCCTGGCCCAGCTCTGTGGTGCCTCCAGGACATGTGATTCTTCGGTGTCATTCTTATCTTGGGTTTAACAACTTCAGTCTGTAAAAGGAAGATGGGGTGCCTGGCACTGAGCTCTACAACAGAATATTCTGGAAGAGCCTTTTCATGGGCCCTGTGACCCCAGCACACACAGGGACGTACAGATGTCGGGGTTCACACCCACACTACCCCAGTGGGTGGTCGGCACCCAGCAACACCCTGGTGATCATGGCCACAGGTCAGAGGGCTCCTGTCTTGGATTCTCCTTTCCCACCTCCTGAATCCCAGAGCTTCTGGTGGGCGTGTCCTTGAGGGTCCCATCACCCAGGCCCTGACTATATTTGGGGTAAAGGGGGATTGAATACAGGGAAATGGGTGCTGTGGTGGGAAGAATAATTGTCCCCAGTGATGACTACATTCTAATCCCTGGAGTCTGTGACTATTTATGTTATAGGGGAAGGAACTGAAGGGGAAGATGGAGCTCAGGTTGTTGATGAGTTGACCTTGAGATGGGGAGACAGCCTGGACTGTCCCGCTGGGCTCAGTGTAATCACAAGGGTCCACATGAAAGGAGGAGGAAGAGGGGAGTGGGGATTAGAGCAGCGCAATGGGAGACTCCACCAGCTTTGAAGGTGGAGGAAGGCCAGGAGCCATGAATGCAGGTGGCCTGTAGAGGTTGGAAAAGTCAAGGAAATGATTCTCCAGAGTCTCCAGAGGGAACGAAGCCCTGCAGATGCCTTGATTTTAGCCCAGGAAAAACAGGGTCCTATTTCTGTCTCCAGTAGTGAAATGGGTCAGTGTGCTCTCTCCTGCTGCCATGCTTCTGATAATTTTCTACAGCAGCAACAGGAAACCAACACTGGAACCCAGGTCAAGGACAAGGTAAGAAACAACACAAGGATAGCCGGGTGTGGTGGCAGGCGCATGTAATCCTAGCGACTTGGGAGGCTGAGGGCAGGAGAATCACTTGAACCCAGGAGACAGAGGTTGCAGTGACCCTAGACCACACCACTTCACTCCAGCTGGGGTGAAGGAGTGAGACTCTGTCTCCATAATTAATTAATTAATTAAAGGAACCAAACAAGGGGAAGGTTGGCTACACCGAGATGAGCAAGTGTGGGATGATGATGCCACCACCAGGCTCCATCCACATAGGGAGGGGTTGATACTCCTCAAACCAGCACCAGGAGCCAGCCCTATGGAAGCTGGCCACCATGGAGAAGGCACAGGCATGGCCAAGAGTGGCCTCCCAGTCCCGACGCAGGAACAGGGTGTGTGGACACTGGTGCCTGCCTTATTCATCAGTTTCATAACCTACTGCCAAGGATTCCAATTCATCCAAAAGAGATTGGAACCAGGCCTGATAAGAGGCTGGATGTGCAGCCTATCCTGGTTCCTCTTTCACCCCCACATAAACAGCAGGAAAGACATTAGTGTGAAATAGATACAACACCCCAAGAGATGAGGCTAAGCCCAGTGGGAAGGGAATCAGAGGCGACTAGAGACAGAGGGACAGAGAAGAGGGAGGGAGACAGATGGAAGGACCTGCACCAAGGAGTTATGGGCACAGAAAAGAACATGAAGACACAGAGAGGAAGGAGAGAGACAGACACCAGCAAGGGGAAGCCTCACTCATTCTAGGTGCCATGGATGGGATGATAAAGAGAGACACCTTCTAAACTCACAACCTCTCTTCCTAGGAGTCCACAGAAAACCTTCCCTCCTGGCCCACCCAGGTCCCCTGGTGAAATCAGAAGAGACAGTCATCCTGCAATGTTGGTCAGATGTCAGGTTTCAGCACTTCCTTCTGCCACAGAGAAGGGAAGTTTAACGACACTTTGCACCTCACTGGGAGAGCACCATGATGGGGTTTCCAAGGCCAACTTCTCCATCGGTCCCATGATGGAAGACCTGGCAGGGACCTACAGATGCTACGGTTCTGTTACTCACTCCCCCATCAGTTGTCAGCTCCCAGTGACCCTCTGGACATCGTCATCACAGGTGAGAGTGTCCGGACATTCTTCTCATTGTCATTGGGATGCAGAGTGGAATGATCCACGACTTGGAACCCCCAGGTAGTTGTAAGGAAGATGAGCTTGGTATTCTTATGGAGAGAGACTGACTTGGTGAGGTCTGTACCAACAGAGACAGAGAAACAGGAGACACAAGTACAGACCAGGTGTCATAACAGAGGACAGACACCAGGGGCCATACCGGGAGTTAGAAAAGACAGAAGGAGTTAAAGGAGACAGACAGACAGACATGTCCCAGAGAGAGGTGTCCCTCCATGCTGACTTTGCTCAGAGACCTGGCACAGGTTAGAAGTTTCATTTCTGTTTTACCTCCACAAAGTGTTCTCTACCAGGAGAACCCAAGGACACCCATATTTATGACCTGAGTTGGGCCCTGTGGCCTCAGGCCTTGTGGCACCTACAGATGCCGTGTTTATTCTGACACCTCTGCCTTCCATGTAATGGAGAGTAACCGTCCCAGGATATCATGGCCCCAGAACACCAACTCCTGTATGCTGTGTGAACTTGTGGTCTCCAGACTGGATTCTGAGGCTCACATTCCAAATAACCCCACATATGAAAGGATCACTGAGAGGCACAGAGAGAAAATCAGGGACACCAAAAAGCAAAGACATAAACACACAGAGAATGAGCCAGAGGAAGGAGATTGAGAGACTCACAGACACATAAAGAGAGAGAAAAGAGGGCAGAGGAGTGGTGAGAATGATGGAAGGGAGCAGAGAAAAGCACTAAAATTAGACTCCTGAGGGAGAGGCACAAGGACATAGAAAGATGGAGATGTGGGGATGAATTGCAGAGATTCCAAAGAGAACTAGAGAGACCGAGAGGCAGAGCAAGACAGATGATAGATGGATAGATATAGATAGATGATAAATAGGTAGATGATAGATAATAGGTTAAAGATACATAGATGATGATTGATTGATTCATTAATAGATGAGACATAGAGATGATGATGATGAAGACAGATAGATAATACATAGAGATAGAGAGGCAGACAGAAGTCATAGAGAGAGAGATGATACATAGATATAGATAACAGATGATTGATGGATAGATAGACAAGTGATAGATACATAGATGATATATAGATATAGATGACAGGTAGAGAATTTGTAGATAGGCACCGAATAGATAAATAGATAGATCGATAGATAATAGATAGAAATATGCAGAAAGTTATGAACAGGACACAAAGTGAGAAACTTAGAATTTAAAAAAGTAACATCAAGTCAACCAATCCAAGGAGAGTCAGAGAGAATAAAACAATCCAAAAAGGGAAAACATATCTAGAGGTGTGGAAGCGAGGTCAGAGACCTAGAGAGACAGAGAAGGTGGAAGGAGGAAATAGACATGAAGAGAGATGGGGTGGAGGGTGAGAGAGAGAGAGAGAGAGAGCATTAGGTCATAGAGCAGGGGAGTGAGTTCTCAGCTCAGGTGAAGGGAGCTGTGACAAGGAAGATCCTCCGTAAGGAAAATGCCTCTTCTCCTTCCAGGTCTATATGAGAAACCTTCTCTCTCAGCCCAGCCGGGCCCCACGGTTCTGGCAGGAGAGAGCGTGACCTTGTCCTGCAGCTCCCGGAGCTCCTATGACATGTACCATCTATCCAGGGAGGGGGAGGCCCATGAACGTAGGTTCTCTGCAGGGCCCAAGGTCAACGGAACATTCCAGGCTGACTTTCCTCTGGGCCCTGCCACCCACGGAGGAACCTACAGATGCTTCGGCTCTTTCCGTGACTCTCCCTACGAGTGGTCAAACTCGAGTGACCCACTGCTTGTTTCTGTCACAGGTGAGGAAAGCCCATGGCTGTCCCATGTCCTATGATCCTAGAGCCTTAGCTGAGGAGCTTCCTGCTGAGGATGGAGAGAAGGATGAACAGATGCAGAGAGAAGACGAAGCTTGGGTGTGAGGGAGGGATCAGGGCACAGGATGGCAGACAGGGCACCTCCAAACCCTCCTACATGGCCTGCATGAAGGCCTGCGGCCAGGACTCCAGGCACCCAGGCAGATGGAGAAAGCGGTCAGGAGAGACCCAGAGGAGGGAGACTGGGCTCAGTTTGGGAAGATCAGAGGTTCCCTCAGCCCCTCAACATTACCCATTTCCCAGAAGCCCATCCTGGCCTCCCACCCACACAGGGATGTCATCACCTGCAACCCCTACACCCTTTACTTTTGTTTGAGAAATATTTATTGAGGATAAATATACCTATATAGCTTACCACCTTTAACATTTTTTTTTTGAGGCGGAGTCTAGCTCTGTCCCCTATGCTGGAGTGCATTGGCACAATCTCAGCTCACTGCAACTTCCGCCTCCTGGGTTCAAGCGATTCTCTTGCCTCAGCCACCTGAGTAGCTGGTGCTACAGGCGCGCACCACCATGCCAGGCTACTTTTTGTATTTTTAGTAGAGAGGGGGTTTCACCATGTTGGTCAAGCTGGTCTCGAACTCCTGACCACGTGATCCACCCGCATCAGCCTCCCAAAGTGCTGGGATTACAGGCATGAGCCACCACGCCCAGCCACATTTACCATTTTTAAGTGTAAAGTCTAGTGGTCATAAATACATTAATATATATATATATACACATATTTTTTTTTACCCTCCACCCTTTTCTTCCTGGCCTCTGGTAGCCACCATTCTACTCTCTACCTTCATGAGATCCACCTTTTAGCTCCTGTATATGGGTAAGAAATGGGAATCTTTGTAATGACCTCCAGTTCCATCCATGTGGCTGCAAATATCAGGATGTTTTTCTTTCTATGGAAGAGTAGTCTCCACTATGCAAATGTACCACATTCTCTCTATCCATTCACCCACTGATGGGCAGGTAGGTTGACTCCTCATCTTGGCTACTGTGAAGAGTGCTGCACCAATCATACGAGTGCAGATATCACTTCGATATATTGATTTACTTTCCTTTGGATATAAACCCAGTAGTGAAATTGCTGGATACTATGAAAGTTCTCTTTTTAGTTTTTCGTTTGTTGTTTTGTTTTTGTTTTTGAGACAGTTTCCCTCTGTGCCCAGGCTGGAGTACAAGTGATGTCATCTTGGCTCATTGCAACCTCTGCCTCCTGGGTTCAAATGATTTTCCTGCCTCAGCCTCCCTAGTATCAGGGATTATAGGCGCACGCCACCATGCCTGGCTACTTTTTGTTTTTTTTAGTATAGATGCGGTTTCCCCATGTTGGCTGGGCTGCTCTCAAACTCATGACCTCAACTGAGGTGCCCGCCTCGGTCTCCCAAAGTGCCGGGATTACAGGCATGATCCACCTCACCCAACCTCTTTTTAGTTCTTTAAAGGACTTCCACACTTTTCTCCGTAATGGCTGTACTAATTTACACTCCTACCAACAGGATACCAGGATTCTCCTTTCTCTAACACCTTGCCAGCATTTCTTTTGCCTGTCTTGCAGCTAAAAGCCATTTTATTTTATTTCATTTTATTTTGAGATGGAGTTTCGCTCTTGTCACCCAGGCTGAGTGCAGTGGTGCGATCTCGGCTCACCACAACCTCCACCTCCCAGGTTCAAGCGATTCTCCTGCCTCAGCCTCCCGAGTAGCTGGAATTACAGGCACACGCCACCACGCCCGACTAATTTTTGTATTTTTAGTAGAGACAGTGTTTCTCCATGTGGGTCAGACTGGTCTCAAACTCCCGACCTTATGAGATTCACCCACCTCAGGCTCTCAAAGTTCTAGGATGACAGACGTGAGCCACCACGCCCGGCCTAAAAGCCATTTTAATGGGGTGAGATGAAAACTCACTTTGATTTTAATTTGTGTTTCTCTGATGATGAGTGATACTGAGCACTTTTTCGTATGTGGGGAAATTTCATGTCTTTTGCTCCTGTTTCAATTAAATCATTTGTTTTATTGAGTTGTTTGAGCTTCTTATATTTCTAGTTATTAATCCCATCTCAGATGCATAGTTTGCACATATTTGCTCCCAATCTGTGGGTTGTCTCTTCACTTTGTTGGTTTATTTTTAGCGGTGCAGAAGTTGCTTAGTTTGAGGTAATCCCAATGGTCTATTTTTGCTTCGATTACTTGTGTTTTGAAGGTTTAAAACAAAATGTCTTCCTTCAGACAAACGTCCTGGAGCATTTCCCCAATATTTTCTTCTACGTGTTTCATAGGTTCAGGCCTTAGACTCACATCTTTAATCCATTTTCATTTGATTTTTGTGTATAGTGACAGGCAGAGGTGCAGTTTCATTCCTCTGCATGTCGATGTCCAGGTTTCCCTGCACTGTTTATTGAAAAGACTGTCCTTTCCTGATTGTGAGTTCTTGGCACCTTTGTCAAAGTCCATTGGATGGGCTGGGCATGGTGGCTGACACCTGCAATTTCAGCACTTTGGGAGCCCGAGGTGGGTGGATCACCTGAGGCCAAGAGTTCAAGATTAGTCTGGCCAACGTGATGAAACATCGTCTCCACTAAAAATATAAAAATTAGCTGAGCATGGTGGTCAGCACCTGTAATACCACTACTCAGGAGTTTGAGGCAAGAGAAGTGATTGAACCCAGGAGGCTGTGGTGGCAGTGAACCGAGATTGCACCTCTGCACTCCAGCCTGGGTGACAGAGCAAGACTCCATCTCAAAAGAAAAACAAAAAATACATTGGAGGTAAATGCATGGATTATATCTGTGTTATTCATTCTGCTCCGTTGTTCTATGTGCCTTTCTTCATGCCAACGTCATGCTGTCTTGCTTACTACAGCTCTGTAACATATTTTGAGATCAGGTAGTGTGATGCTCCTGTTTTCTCTTTATACCTTGAAGTCTCAAGACAGTAGCCGTCACATACAAAAATTACGGAAAAAAGGATCCCAGGACTCCCAGGGCCCAATATTAGATAACAGAGTGTTGGCCATGAACCAACCTCAAAGATTTCCACTGAGTAGAGGACAGACACCCTCATTTCCTCACCTCTCTCCTGTCTCATGTTCTAGGAAACCCTTCAAATAGTTGGCCTTCACCCACTGAACCAAGCTCCAAAACCGGTGAGTACAGAACCCTCTTATATCCGCTTTTGGAAACCTGGGGAGGTGGAAACCTTGGATTCAGGCGTTGACTCAGCATCTCACAGCTCTGACATTGTACGCCTGTCTTCTACCATCTCCAAACTCCAGATACTCCAACAGCGAAAGGGATCTGGACCCAAAACAGGGCTCTGTGAAATCTCTTAATCTCTCATTTTATGGAGCTGAGATCTCCTACAAGCTAGAAAAATGATTGGCAATCTGACATCCTTCTCAGGAAAAATGCAATGTTTGTTCTGCCTGCATTCCTAACTGGAGGATAAATTCCTGGGGGCTTGAGAGAGGGAAGGGTAGGGAACATTTGATGAGGGCGAGGTGTTTTAGAGAAGTTCCACTTGCCCAGGAATGAATTACTGTTGGTCATGAAGCAACCCTGGCTGACTCAGCAGAGCAAGAGCTTTGCCTTAACAGAGAACGGAGCTCATGCACGCACACTTCGACTCACTGACTCATTCAGCCACGGCCCCATGCTCAGGCCGTGGAAAAGGCAATTCCCAGCACTGCAGGAGGCCAAGGCGGGTGGATCACTTGAAGTCAGGAGTTCCAGACCAGCCTGGCCAAAATGGTGAAACCCTGTCTCTATGAAAAATACAAAAATTAGCCGAGCATGGTGGTGCATCCCTGTAATCCCAGCTCCTACTCTTGAGGATGAAGCAGGAGAACGACTTCAACCCAGGAGGTGGAGGTTGCAGTGAGTGGAGATTGCATCACTGCACTCCAGCCTGGGTGACACAAGGAGACTCCGTCTCAAAAAATAAAAATAAGAAATGCATAAATATAATAAAACACACACGAATGACAAAGGCACCTGAATTCCAATCATCATTTTTGTATTTCTCTATAATTACTTCTTTGATCCTTTGTCTTATCCATTAGGCAATGAGCCTAAAACCTCTTCCGTATTTGGCTTTCTGTGAGCATGAGACCATATAGAAAATGTGAAAGCCCGCTGAATCCTCCAGCACAGATCGTGGAATAGAGAAAGTGCTCTGTTCATCACAAAAAAAACTTGCCCTCTCACTCAAATCCCCCACTTCACCCCTACTTCCAATCACCTGTGGAGATTCAGATAGACCATGGGGAGGTAAACATTAATACTCCTTGGAGTGAGTCCAGATCTTGGAATGAGAGATCAGCACCAGCACTAGCTCCTGCTCCCCTTTCCTACTAATTCACAGGAGGACAGGTGGTATTGAAGCAATAGATGGTGGAGGGGGTGGTCCTTCCCCCAGCCTCTCAGGTAGAACAGCAGCCTAACATGTGTCTCCCGAGATCACAAAGAGTAGGACGTTTCACAGGGGCTTCAACACGATTTCCTGGCTGTTGGACATAAGATAACTCTATTTCGCTTTTTTATCTTGATTTCACTTTTGTTTCCTTTCCTTGGAGAACGCAAGTTGTTTGACTCAAGAATGCTGTGGATGTAGAAATCCTAAAGCACATTCGCTGTGTGTCAATCCCAGTGCAGTCTTCCCAGAAAAGACCCTAAACACCTCCTAGACTGCACCTGGGCCTACGCCAATTCCTATCACTCACCGTCACTCCAGGGAGACAGAACACACAGAGAATACGTTACATAGGCAGGTTCATTACTAACAGATAAGCAGCGAGTGAAAACAGAAGCCTACATTTCAATGTGAGCCAGTCCCTCAAGGCTCAGAAAAGCTGCTCGGGACATATGGAGTCACCCCATTTGCAGTGTAGCTGGGGGAAGCCAGAAAGCAGCCCAGCCTGGGTTTTGTACCCTGGAGCCACAGGAAGCACTCAGCTAAAGCACTGCATGACGTCCTCCTCCAGGAAGAACAGGAAGACAGCCCAGGCTGCTCTGGGACGTTCCTCCTGATCTCAGGACGTTGCTGTCTTAGTCCATTTTTGTTGCTCTAAAGGAACACTTGAGCCTGGGCAACTTCTAAAGAAAAGAGATTGGTTTGCCTCACCGTTCTGCAGGCTGTACTGGAAGCATGGCACCAGCATCTATTTCTCGTGATGGCCTCAGGCTGCTCCCACTCTGGCAGAAGGGAAGGAGGGTCTGTCTGTGCAGAGACCACAGAGATCACACGGCAAGAGAGGGAGCAAGGGGGAGGGGGAGCGATGGAGCTTCCAAGTTCTTTTGAACAACCAGCTCTCCAGGAACTAATAGAGGGGGAACTAGCTAACCCCGTCTCCTTGGGACAGCATTGATCTGTTCATGATGGATCCACCTCCATGACCCAAACACCTCTCAAGAGGCCCAACCTCCCACAATGGGGGTGAAATTTCAATGTGAGGTTTGAAGGGGTCAAACATCTCAACTAAAGTAGTTGTGTCCTCAGCACATTCTATGGTTACTTTGAGAGCTATAACTGAGAAAGCAGGAGAAAGCTGGGTCTCCCGCCATCTGGGTGCTTGTCCTAAAGAGGTGTTTTACGTGGTTACCTGTCAATCAAGAAATGCGAGACAATTCATAAAGAGGAACTGCTATGATTAGCTTCTTATTGGTGTCTCATCTTCTTCCAGGTAACCCAAGACACCTGCACGTTCTGATTGGGACCTCAGTGGTCATCATCCTCTTCATCCTCCTCCTCTTCTTTCTCCTTCATCGCTGGTGCTCCAACAAGAAAAGTAAGTCTCACGAAGGAGAGGCCAGAGAGCTCAGGGCCATGTGGGGAAGCAGGATGGGAGCACTCAGGTGTGTGTTCCTCACAGGTAGGATGGTCCCTGGCCCAAGGCAGCAGCCACAGAGGCAGGACTTTCTAGAGAGGGCACCAGACTCCCTGTCCCTGCTTTCAGCTCACAGACCGTTGCCTGATTCTGAACTGTATCCTCATGTCCCCTGCAGCCACTCACATCCAGGAGAAGGTTCCATGACAGGCAGAAAGTGGGAGACAGAATCAATGGGATGGGAACTCAGAGCTATTCATGGGATGGGTCCTTGAGCTCAGAGAGATAGAATGTCTGAGTCTGCTGTTGGCAACTGAGGGACCTCAGGCACCTATGGCCTCCCCCTGTTTGTTGGTATCTGCTTATGAAATGAGGACCCAGAAGTGCCCTCCGAGCTCTTTTGTTGACTTCCGTCTCCTACACATGCTGCTGTAATGGACCAAGAGCCTGCAGGGAACAGAACAGCGAATAGCGAGGTAGGTGCTCCTCGGCCCAGCCTCGTGGCTAGTGTTATTCCCAAACAGTCCTGGAAAACGTGAGCACCCTCCCTCACTCAGGATTTCCCTCTCTCCAGGACTCTGATGAACAAGACCCTCAGGAGGTGACATACGTACAGTTGGATCACTGCGTTTTCACACAGAGAAAAATCACTCGCCCTTCTCAGAGGCCCAAGACACCCCCAACAGATACCAGAGTGTACACGGAACTTCCAAATGCTGAGTCCAGATCCAAAGTTGTCTCCTGCCCATGAGCACCACAGTCAGGCCTTGAGGGGATCTTCTAGGGAGACAACAGCCCTGTCTCAAAACCGGGTTGCCAGCTCCCATGTACCAGCAGCTGGAATCTGAAGGCGTGAGTCTGCATCTTAGGGCATCGCTCTTCCTCACACCACAAATCTGAATGTGCCTCTCTCTTGCTTACAAATGTCTAAGGTCCCCACTGCCTGCTGGAGAGAAAACACACTCCTTTGCTTAGCCCACAATTCTCCATTTCACTTGACCCCTGCCCACCTCTCCAACCTTACTGGCTTACTTCCTAGTCTACTTGAGGCTGCAATCACACTGAGGAACTCACAGTTCCAAACATACAAGAGGCTCCCTCTTAACACGGCACTTAGACACGTCCTGTTCCACCTTCCCTCATGCTGTTCCACCTCCCCTCAGAGTATCTTTCAGCCTTCTGTCAGCAGTAAAACTTATATATTTTTTAAAATAATTTCAATGTAGTTTTCCCTCCTTCAAATAAACATGTCTGCCCTCATGGTTTCGGTAATGGGACTCTTTTCTTGCCTAAGACTTCCATTATCATTACCATGTCCACATAACCCCATCTGTTCTCCACTGGGTTCTCACCCCCGGACTCTGAGTTTCTGGAAGCAGGGTGGAGCCTCATTTGTCTCTGGGACTCCTATTTCCATCCAAAGATGTAGCACATAGGAGGTTCCAAGGATCGTGAATCACATGAACAAGTGATATTCTTACTCTCTGCAGACCTGGAAATCTGGCAGAGTCATTCCAAGATGAAACATTTGTAGAATCATAGGCCTTGTTAGTCTCATCTACACAGGGACACATATCAACACATCATCTTTCACACTATAAATATACAGTCACTCCTCCATATCTGTGGGGTTTACAGTTCTTTATTGAACCGAGTATAAATCAAAAATATTCAGAGAAAGTATCCACAGAGTTACAAAAAGCAGAACTGTGTTGAATGGACACAAATGAAGCTGTGTGTAGGCTGCATCAGGAATTATAAGTAATCTAGAGATGATTTCATGTATACAGGAGGATGTGCATAGGTTATTTGCAAACTCTGTGCCATTTCATATAAGAGGCTTGAGCATCTACAGATTTTGGTATCTGAGTGGAGATCTCGAAACCAATCACCCACGAATAGTGAAGGATGACCGTATATGACTTTTATTTCTCAAATTTAAATATAAATCATAAAAAATGTACAACTAGATAAAAACTAAGAAGTGTTTTTATAGTGTGAGTTAGATTTATTTTTTCCTAGGTATAACCCATTGGTTTAATATTATTTATTGAGAAGACATTCTATGCCACCTTAAACCACACGGCAGCCTTTGTCAACTCTAAAGGGACTGTGTGTACACGGATGTACTTTAGACACTGTTTCTGCTAAGGGGCTCTCTGTGTCCACACTCTTGATGATGCTGCACTTTATGTAGCCTTATAGAACCCTTTAAATTTAGTAGCCAGAGCTCTCTAATTTGTTATTATAGGCTATTTGCTTTTTTTTCTTGAGGCGGAGTCTTGCTCTGTCGCCCAGGCTGGACTGCAGTGACACAATCTCAGCTCACTGCAACTTCTGCCTCCCAGGTTCAAGCGATTCTCATGCCTCAGCCTCTTGAGTAGCTGGCGTTACAGGTGCCTGCCACCAGGCACGGCTAATTTTTGGATTTTTAGCAGAGACACGGTTTCACTATATTGGCCAGGCTGCTCTCAAACTCCTTATCTCAGTTGATCCGCCCACCTCGGCTTCCCAACGTGCTGGGGAAACTTGATTTTCTATAGCATTATGTTACTGGATATTTCTGTAAAATTTAAAATGAGGGAGGGAGAGAGACAGACGGAAAACAAACTCCAGAGTTGGGACTCTGGAATCTTGGGTCATGAGACAAATTTTAGATTAAACTACAAAACTCCAGAATTTACAGGTGGGGTTTTTACTGATAAAGTACAATTCTAAGATTGTAAATAATTGCATAATCCTTCCCTGGGAATTTAAATCATTTTAACTGGTTCTGCTGTAATACTAGAAATACAAGCATGAAAAATTCTAATGGTTTATTAGTGACAATGACTCTGAAAACATTAATAATACCTATTAGATATTTTGCATATTACACAGGAAGAAGAGTTTGAATCTCAGATAAAAACAATAGAAATACATGAAAAGTCTTTCATGTTAGCACAGATTTTAGGCATCTCGTGTTCGGGAGGTTGGATCTCAGACGTGTTTTGAGTTGGTCATAGTGAAGGACACTAGGTGTCAAATTCTAGCGAGAACAATTTCCAGGAAGCCGTGTTCCGCTCTTGAGCGAGCACCCACTGGGCCTCATGCAAGGTAGAAAGAGCCTGCGTACGTCACCCTCCCATGATGTGGTCAACATGTAAACTGCATGGGCAGGGCGCCAAATAACATCCTGTGCGCTGCTGAGCTGAGCTCGGTCGCGGCTGCCTGTCTGCTCCGGCAGCACCATGTCGCTCTTGGTCGTCAGCATGGCGTGTGTTGGTGAGTCCTGGAAAGCAATAGAGGGAGGGAGTGAGGGGATGGAGATCTGGGCCCAGAGGTGGAGATATAGGCCTGGAGGTGGAGTTATGGGCCTGGAGTGGAGATCTGGGCCTGGAGTGGATATATGGGCCTAGAGATGGAGTGATGGGCCTAGAAGTGGAGATCTGGGCCCAGAGGTCGAGATATAGGCCTGGAGGTGGAGTGATGGGACTGTAGTGGAGATCTGGGCCTGGAGTGGAGATAGGAACCTGGAGGGGAGATAGGAACCTGGAGGGGAGATATGGGCCTGGAGGTGGAGATATGGGCCTGGAGTGGAGTCATGGGCCTGGAGGTGGAGTTATGGGCCTGCAGTAGAGATATGGGCCTGAAGTGGAGACATGGGCCTGGAGTGGAGATATGGGCCAGGAGTGGAGATATGGGCCTAGAGGTCGATATCTGGGCCTGGAGTGGAGATATGGGCCAGGAGTGGAGATATGGGCCTAGAGGTCGATATCTGGGCCTGGAGAGGAGATATGTGCCTAGGATGGAGATACGGGCCTGGGTGTGGAGATATGGGACTGGAGAGGATATATGGGCCTGGAGTGGAGATATGGGACTGGAGAGGAGATATGGACCTGGAGTGGAGATAAGGGCCTGGATTGGAGATATGGGCCCAGGGTGGAGATCTGAGCCTGGATTGGAGATATGGGCCTGGATTGGCGATATGGGCTTAGGGTGGAAATATCGGCCTGGAGTGGAGATATGGGCCTGGAGTGGAGATATGGGCTTGAGGTGGGGATATGGACCTGGAGGCTGGGTCTCTGCACAGCCGACAGCCCTGTTCTTGGGTGCAGGTAGGCACTGAGGGTGAGTTTACCTTCAGCCCAGGAAGGGCCTGGCTACCAAGACTCACAGCCCAGTGGGGGCAGCAAGGGTGCCCTGGTTTGCCTGCAGATGGGTCATCCATCATGATCTTTCTTTCCAGGGTTCTTCTTGCTGCAGGGGGCCTGGCCACATGAGGGTGAGTCCTTCTCCCAACCTTCGGGTGTCATCTCCCCACATAAGAGGATTTTCCTGAAATGGGAGGGAAGTCCTGTCAGGGAGTCTCTCATAAACTAGGAAGAAGGGACCCTGGGGTGCTGGGCCCACATTTCTGACCTTGCCTCCCTGGCCTTTCATTCCCTTGGCAGAGTCAAGTTCTGTGGGGACCAGGGTTAGACTACGGTGCTCAAAGCTGGGGTGTGTGGTGGGGAAGTGGTAGGAACAGCAGATCCTCTGAGGACAAAGGTGTTACTCACACACTTCAGCGTTTCCATGACGGTAGGGGCTGCAGTGTGGCTGCTGTCATTCTACCAGAAGAGGTGGGAAAACCACAGCCATGGCCCTGACATTCCAATCCTCTGATGGGGACTCAGTTGTTTATTTTCGTTCAGGCATCGGCTGATATTCCATTCTCAAAGGACATGCCCTCCACCCCATGTCTACCCTGTGTTGTTTTATGTGAGTAATCTTACAGTATTAAAATCTAGTAGGAGTCTCTTACTCAGCACTTGCTCAAAGTTCTCAGCTGACACTTTTGTTGTAGGGAGACACCTTGTGTTTGCGGGATGGGTCCTTCCTTTAGCCCTGGGCACCAAGGTGTGATAGCAGCCATAGAAACTTGGAAAGCGAGGAGAATCTTCAGAGCACAGGGAGGGAGGGGCGGCTCCACATCCTCCTCTCTAAGGCGGTGCCTCCTTCTCCCCACGGTGGTCAGGACAAGCCCTTGCTGTCTGCCTGGCCAAGCCCTGTGGTGCCTCCAGGACATGTGATTCTTCAGTGTCATTCTTATCTTGGGTTTAACAACTTCAGTCTGTAAAAGGAAGATGGGGTGCCTGTCCCTGAGCTCTACAACATAATATTCTGGAACAGCCTTTTCATGGGCCCTGTGACCCCAGCACACGCAGGGACCTATACATGTCGGGGTTCACAACCACACTACCCCAGTGGGTGGTCGGCACCCAGCAACCCCCTGGAGATCACGGTCACAGGTCAGAGGGCTCCTGTCTGGGATTCTCCTTGTCCCACCTCCTGAATCCCAGAGCTCCTGGTGGGCGTGTCCTTGCGGGTCCCATCATGCAAGTCCTGACTGTATTTGGGGTAAAGGGGGATTGAATACAGGGAAATGGGTGCTGTGGTGGGAAGAATAATTGTCCCCAGTGATGACTACATTCTAATCCCTGGAGTCTGTGACTATTTATGATATAGGGGAAGGGACTGAAGGAGAAGATGGAGCTCAGGTTGTTGATGAGTTGACCTTGAGATGGGGAGACAGCCTGGACTGTCCTGATGGGCTCAGTGTAGTCACAGGGGTCCACAGGAAAGGAGGAGGAAGAGGGGAGTGGGGATTACAGCAGCATAATGGGAGTCTCCATCAGCTTTGAAGGTGGAGGAAGTCCAGGAGCCATGAATGCAGGTGGCCTATAGAGGCTGGAAAAGTCAAGGAACTGATTCTCCTGAGTCTCCAGAGGGAACGAAGCCCTGCAGGTGCCTTGATTTTACCCACGACAAACAGGGTCCGATTTCTGTCTCCAGAATTGGAAGGGGTTAGTGTGCTCTCTCCTGGTGCCATGCTTCTGATAATTTTCTACAGCAGCAACAGGAAACCAACACTGGAACCCAGGTCAAGGACAAGTTAAGAAACAACACAAGGATAGCCAGGCATGGTGGCAGGTGCATGTAATCCTAGCGACTTGGGAGGCTGAGGGCAGGAGAATCACTTGAACCCAGGAGACAGAGGTTGCAGTGAGCCTAGACCACACCACTTCACTCCAGCCTGGGCAAAGGAGTGAGACTCTGTCGCCAAAATTAATTAATTAATTAAAGAAACCAAACAAGGAGAAGGTTGGCTACACTGAGATCAGCAAGGCTCAGATGATGATGCCACCACCAGGCTCCATCCACATAGGGAGGGGTTGATACTCCTCCAACCAGCACCAGGAGCCAGCCTATGGAAGCTGGCACTGGCATGGCAAGAGTGGCTCCCAGTCCCTACCAGGAACAGGGTGTGTGGCCACTGGTGCCTGCCTTACTGATCAGTTCATACCTCCTGCCAAGGATTCCAATTCGTCCAAAAGAGATTGAACCAGGCTGCTAAGAGCCTGGATGTGCAGCCTATCCTGGTTCCTCTTCCACCCCCACATAGACAGCAGGAAAGACATTAGTTCGAAATAGATACAACAGCCCAAGAGATGAGGCTGAGCCCAGCGGCAAGGGAATCAGAGGCTACTAGAGACAGAGGGACAGAGAAGAGTGAGGGAGACAGATGGAAGGACCTGCACCAGGAGTTATGGGCACAGAAAAGAACATGAAGACACAGAGAGGAAGGAGAGAGATAAGACACCAGGAAGGGGAAGCCTGACTCAATCCAGGTGCCATGGATGGGATGATAAAGAGAGACACCTTCTAAACTCACAACCTCTCTTCCTAGGAGTCCACAGAAAACCTTCCCTCCTGGCCCACCCAGGTCGCCTGGTGAAATCAGAAGAGACAGTCATCCTGCAGTGTTGGTCAGATGTCATGTTTGAACACTTCCTTCTGCACAGAGAGGGGATGTTTAACGACACTTTGCGCCTCATTGGAGAACACCATGATGGGGTCTCCAAGGCCAACTTCTCCATCAGTCGCATGACGCAAGACCTGGCAGGGACCTACAGATGCTACGGTTCTGTTACTCACTCCCCCTATCAGGTGTCAGCTCCCAGTGACCCTCTGGACATCGTGATCATAGGTGAGAGTGTCCAGACTTTCTTCTCATTGTCATTGGGATGCAGAGTGAATGATCCAGGAATTGGAGACCCAGGTGGCTGTAAGGAAGATGAGCTTGGTATTCTTATGGAGAGAGACTGACTTGGTGAGGTCTGTGCCAACAGAGACAGAGAAACAGGAGACACAAGTAGAGACCAGGTGTCATAACAGAGAACAGACACAGGGGCCATACCGGGAGTTAGAAAAGACAGAAAGAGTTAAAGGAGACACACAGACAGACATGTCCCAGAGAGAGGTGTCCCTCCATGCTGACTTTGCTCAGAGACCTGGCACAGGTTAGAAGTTTCATTTCTGTTTTACCTCCACAAAGTGTTCTCTACCAGGAGAACCCAAGGACACCCATATTTCTGACCTGAGTTGGGCCCTGTGGCCTCAGGCCTTGTGGCACCTACAGATGCCATGTTTATTCTGACACCTCTGCCTTCCATGTAATGGAGAGTAATCGTCCCAGGATATCATGGCCCCACAACACCAACCCCTGTATGCTGTGTGAACTTGTAGTCTCCAGACTGGATTCTGAGGCTCATATTCCAAATAAGCCCACTTATGAGAGGATCAGTGAGAGGCACAGAGAGAAATCAGGGACACCAAAAAGCAAAGACATAAACACACAGAGAATGAGCCAGAGGAAGGAGATTGAGAGACTCACAGACACATAAAGAGAGAGAAAAGAGGGCAGAGGAGTGGTGAGAATGATGGAAGGGAGCAGAGAAAAGCACTAAAATTAGACTCCTGAGGGAGAGGCACAAGGACATTGAAAGATGGAGATGTGGGGATGAATTGCAGAGATTCCAAAGAGAACTAGAGAGACCGAGAGGCAGAGCAAGACAGATGATAGATGGATAGATATAGATAGATGATAAATAGGTAGATGATAGATAATAGGTTATAGATACATAGATGATGATTGATTGATTCATTAATAGATGAGACATAGAGATGATGATGATGAAGACAGATAGATAGATAATACATAGAGATACAGAGGCAGACATAGAGAAATCATAGAGAGAGAGAGATGATACATAGATATAGATAATAGATGATTGATGGATAGATAGACAATTGATGGATAAATAGATGATATATAGATATAGATGACAGGTAGAGAATTTGTAGATAGGCACCGAATAGATAAATAGATAGATCGATAGATAATAGATAGAAATATGCAGAAAGTTATGAACAGGACACAAAGTGAGAAACTCAGAATTAAAAAAAGTAACATCAAGTCAACCAATCCAAGGAGAGTCAGAGAGAATAAAACAATCCAAAAAGAGAAAACATATCTAGAGGTGGGGAAGTGAGGTCAGAGACCTAGAGAGACAGAGAAGGTGGAAGGAGGAAATAGACATGAAGAGCGATGGGGTAGAGGGTGAGAGAGAGAGAGAGAGAGCATTAGGTCATAGAACAGGGGAGTGAGTTCTCAGCTCAGGTGAAGGGAGCTGTGACAAAGAAGATCCTCCCTGAGGAAACTGCCTCTTCTCCTTCCAGGTCTATATGAGAAACCTTCTCTCTCAGCCCAGCTGGGCCCCACGGTTCTGGCAGGAGAGAATGTGACCTTGTCCTGCAGCTCCCGGAGCTCCTATGACATGTACCATCTATCCAGGGAAGGGGAGGCCCATGAACGTAGGCTCCCTGCAGGGCCCAAGGTCAACGGAACATTCCAGGCTGACTTTCCTCTGGGCCCTGCCACCCACGGAGGGACCTACAGATGCTTCGGCTCTTTCCATGACTCTCCATACGAGTGGTCAAAGTCAAGTGACCCACTGCTTGTTTCTGTCACAGGTGAGGAAAGCCCATGGCTGTCCCATGTCCTATGATCCTAGAGCCTTAGCTGAGGAGCTTCCTGCTGAGGATGGAGAGAAGCATGGACAGATGCAGAGAGAAGACGCAGCCTCGGTGTGAGGGAGGGATCAGGGCACAGGATGGCCGACAGGGCACCTCCAAACCCTCCTACATGGCCTGCATGGAGGCCCACGGCCAGGGCTCCAGGCACCCAGGCAGATGGAGAAAGCGGTCAGGAGAGACCCAGAGGAGGGAGACTGGGCTCAGTTTGGGGAGATCAGAGGTTCCCTCAGCCCCTCAACCTTACCCATTTCCCAGAAGCCCATCCTGGCCTCTCACCCACACAGAGATGTCATCACCAGCAACCCCTACACCCTTTACTTTTCTTTGAAGAAATATTTATTGAGGATAAATATACCTATATAGCTTACCACTTTTAACATTTTTTTTTGAGGTGGAGTCTAGCTCTGTCCCCTATGATGGAGTGCAGTGGCACAATCTCAGCTCACTGCAACCTCCGCCTCCTGGGTTCAAGCGATTCTCCTGCCTCAGCCACCTGAGTAGCTAGTGCTACAGGCACACACCACCACGCCAGGCTACTTTTTGTATTTTTAGTAGAGAGGTGGTTTCACCATGTTGGTCGAGCTGGTCTCGAACTCCTGACCACGTGATCCACCCGCATCAGCCTCCCAAAGTGCTGGGATTACAGGCATGGGCCACCAGGCCCAGCCACATTTACCATTTTTAAGTGTAAAGTCTAGTGGTCATAAATACATTTTTATATATATATATATATACATTTTTTTTACCCTCCACCCTTTTCTTCCTGTCCTCCAGTAGCCACCATTCTACTCTCTACCTTCATGAGATCCACCTTTTAGCTCCTGTATATGGGTGAGAAATGGGAATCTTTGTAATGACCTCCAGTTCCATCCATGTGGCTGCAAATGACAGGATGTTATTCTTTCTATGGATGAGTAGTCTCCACTGTGCGTATGTACTACATTCTCTCTATCCATTCACCCACTGATGGGCAGGTAGGTTGACTCCTCATCTTGGCTACTGTGAACAGTGCTGCACCAATCATACGAGTGCAGATATCACTTCGATATGTTGATTTACTTTCCTTTGGATATAAACCCAGTAGTGAAATTGCTGGATACTATGAAAGTTCTCTTTTTTTTTTTTTTTTCTTTTTTGAGAAAGAGTTTCCCTCCTTAGCCCAAGCTGGAGTCAAAGTGGTGCAACCTTGGCTCATTGCAACCTCCGCCTCCTGGGTTCAAATGATTTTCCTGCCTCAGCCTCCCTAGTAGCTGGGATTACAGGTGCACACCACCATGCCTGGCTACTTTTTGGTTTTTTTAGTATAGATGCGGTTTCCCCATGTTGGCTGGGCTGCTCTCAAACTCATGACCTCAACTGAGGTGCCCGCCTCAGTCTCCCAAAGTGCCGGGATTACAGGCATGATCCACCTCACCCAACCTCTTTTTAGTTCTTTAAAGGACTTCCATACTTTTCTCCGTAATGGCTGTACTAATTTACACTCCTCCCAACAGGGTACCAGGGTTCTCCTTTCTCTACCACCTTGCCAGCATTTCTTTTGCCTGTCTTGCAGCTAAAAGCCATTTTATTTTATTTCATTTTATTTTGAGATGGAGTTTTGCTCTTCTCACCCAGGCTGGAGTGCAGTGGCGCTATCTCGGCTCACCACAACCTCCACCTCCCAGGTTCAAGCGATTCTCCTGCCTCAGCCTCCCGAGTAGCTGGAATTACAGGCACACGCCACCACGCCCTACTAATTTTTGTATTTTTAGTAGAGACAGCGTTTCTCTATGTGGGTCAGACTGGTCTCAAACTCCCAACCTTATGAGATTCACCCACCTCAGGTTCTCAAAGTTCTAGGATGACACAAGTGAGCCACCTCACCCGGCCTAAAAGCCATTTTAATGGGGTGAGATGAAAACTCACTTTGATTTTAATTTGCGTTTCTCTGATGATGAGTGATACTGAGCACTTTTTCGTATGTGGGGAAATTTCATGTCTTTTGCTCCTTTTTCAATTAAATCATTTGTTTTATTGAGTTGTTTGAGCTTCTTATATTTCTAGTTATTAATCCCATCTCAGATGCATAGTTTGCACATATTTGCTCCCAATCTGTGGGTTGTCTCTTCACTTTGTTGGTTTATTTTTAGCAGTGCTGAAGTTGCTTAGTTTGAGGTAATCCCAATGGTCTATTTTTGCTTCGATTACTTGTGTTTTGAAGGTTTAAAACAAAATGTCTTCCTTCAGACAAACGTCCTGGAGCATTTCCCCAATATTTTGTTCTACGTGTTTCATAGGTTCAGGCCTTAGACTCACATCTTTAATCCATTTTCATTTGATTTTTGTGTATGGTGACAGGTAGAGTTGCAGTTTCATTCCTCTGCATGTAGATGTCCAGGTTTCCCTGCACTGTTTATTGAAAAGACTGTCCTTTCCTGATTGTGAGTTCTTGGCATCTTTGTCAAAGTCCATTGGATGGGCTGGGCTTGGTGGCTAACACCTGCAATTTCAGCACTTTGGGAGCCCGAGGTGGGTGGATCACCTGAGGCCAGGAGTTCAAGATTAGTCTGGCCAACGTGATGAAACATCGTCTCCACTAAAAATATAAAAATTAGCTGAGCATGGTGGTCAGCACCTGTAATACCACTACTCAGGAATTTGAGGCAAGAGAATGATTGAACCCAGGAGGCTGAGGTTGCAGTGAACCGAGATTGCACCTCTGCACTCCAGCCTGAGTGACAGAGCAAGACTCCATCTCAAAAGAAAAAATAAAAAACCATTGGATGTAAATGCATGGAATATATCTGTGTTATTCATTCTGCTCCGTTGTTCTATGTGCCTTTCTTTATGCCAATGTCATGCTATTTTGCTTACTACAGCTCTGTAACATATTTTGAGATCAGGTAGTGTGATGCTCCTGTTTTCTCTTTATATCTTGAAGTCTCAAGACAGTGGGTGTCATATAAAAAAATTATGGAAAAAAGGATCCCAGGACTCCCAGGGCTCAATATTAGATAAGAGAGTGTTGGCCATGAACCATCCTCAAAGATTTCCACTGAGTGGAGGACAGACACCCTCATTTCCTCACCTCTCTCCTGTCTCATGTTCTAGGAAACCCTTCAAATAGTTGGCCTTCACCCACTGAACCAAGCTCCAAAACCGGTGAGTACAGAACCCTCTTATATCCGCTTTTGGAACCCTGGGGAGGTGGGAACCTTGGATTCAGGCGTTGACTCAGCATCTCACAGCTCTGACATTGTACACTTGTCTTCCACCATCTCCGAACTCC
Source organism: Homo sapiens (assembly GCF_000001405.40). Lineage (NCBI taxonomy): Eukaryota > Metazoa > Chordata > Mammalia > Primates > Hominidae > Homo > Homo sapiens. The sequence goes on from NW_016107300.1 coordinate 80,423, forward strand.
AGATACTCCTACAGCGAAAGGGATCTGGGCCCAACACAGGGCTCAGTGAAATCTCTTCATCTCTCATTTTATGGAGCTGAGACCTCCTACAAGCTAGAAGAATGATTGCCAATCTGACATCCTTCTCAGGAAAAATGCAATGTTTGTTCTACCTGCATTCCTAACTGGAGGATAAATTCCTGGAGACTTGAGAGAGGGAAGGGAAGGGAACATCTGATGAGGGCAAGGTGTTTTAGAGAAGTTCCACTTGCCAAGGAATGAGCTCCTGTAGGTCATGAAGCAACCCTGGCTGACTCCGCAGAGAAAGAGCCTTGCCGTAACAGAGAACAGAGCTCATGCACGCACACTTCGACTCACTGACTCATTCAGCCACGGCCCCATGCTCAGGCTGTGCAGTGTGGAACCTTTTCCTATTGTTGCCATAACAAATTTCCACAAGATTCGTGGGTGAAAACAAAACGGTTTTTTAATTATCTTACAGTGCTGTAGCTCAAAGTAGGAAGTGCATCTTACTGGGCTAAAATCAAGGTGACAGCAAGGCTGCCTTCCCTCTGAGGATTCCAGGCACGAATCTGCTTCTCACTTGTCCCAGCTTCTAAAGGCTCCCAGTTCCTTGGCTCCTGGTCCCCTTCCTCCTTCCTCAAAGCCCACAAAGACTGGTCACATCTCACATGGCATCACTCAGTGCCTTCTTCCTTACCACACCTCTTTCTCTGAGTGCTGCTCTCCCTTCTTCCTCATCTTTTGAAAACTTGGGGATTCTATTGGGTTCACCAAGATGAAAATCCCTCATAATCTCCTGGAAATCATCCAGGATACCCTTGTTTTAAGTTCAGCTGATTAGCAACCATAATTCCATCTGCAATCTTCATTCCTCCTTTCCATGTAAAATAACATATTCACAAGCTATGGAGGCTAGGACAGGGACATTTTGGGGTGGGACAGCATTCTCCTGCCTTCCACAAACAGTGAACAAGATGCATTTGGCCTCTGCCCTTGGGACACTGATATTGCAGATGGTTAAATGGGAGGGCAGAAAATGAACGCACAAGTGGATCTATAAATGAATGGTCCATTGGGAAGCATCTGTGCATGAAATCTATTTTTTGTTTGTTCTTTTGTTTATTGAGACAGAGTCGCCCTCTGTCTTCCAGGCTACAGTGCAGTGTCACGATCTTGGCTCACTGCAACCTGCGTCTCCTGGATTCAAGTGATTCTCCTGCCTCCGCCTCTCGAGTAGCTGGGATTACAGGCAACTGCCACCGTGCCCGGCTAATTCTTTTTGTATATTTTTTGTAGAGAGGATGTTTCACCACGTTGGCCAAGCTTGTCTGAAACTCCCAACCTCAAGTGATCCGACCGTCTCAGCATGCCAAAGTAATGGGACTACAGGCGTGAGCCACTGTGCCCAGCCAGAATTCAAAATCAATAATAGATAATGCTGAGTGTATGATTTCAGGTGACAAAGAAGGTCTCACTATTCAGATATTTGTGACATTAATGAAAAACACGGAATGAACCCCTGAAAGATTGGCGGAAGGATTTTGCACACACAGCTGTCAGCCATGAAGGCACAAAGGTGAAAACAATCTGATGTGGAAGGAAGAGGCTCTGACTCAAATGCTGGGAATGAGGTGGGGAGAATGACAAGACGACTGTAGAGAGACGGAGAGCACACTGGGTACACAGGAAACTAAGGAGCAACAAGGAGTGTGTGTTTGACACTCACAGCCATTGGATTCACCTCGGGGTAACCAGGAATCCCTACATGATTAATATGACTGACATGAAAATAAGGGAGGCCCAGGTGCATAACTGGAATCTAGGAGACCGTGGAAAAGGCAATTGCCGCCCCACTGGTGAAATGTGGTGCTGATTTAGACACTAAATGAATGAAGTAGATGGATATAAGATATGTTTGTGAGGTAGAATCATTGACTGGAAAGGCTTACTGGGTTTGATTTTCCTACTTGTTTAATCCTCGCTTAATTAATTTCTTTCTGAGATTTATTCATCCTACACATAAATCAATACCTGGCAAAGGAGTGACAGATATATGAGTGGTGGTGGAAATGAAGAGACTTATTATAGCATAATATACAAGTCTGTGAACAGTGGCTCACGCCTGTAACCTAGCACTGCAGGAGGCCAAGGTGGGTGGATTCCATGAAGTCAGGAGTTCCAGACCAGCCTGGCCAACGTGGTGAAACCCTATCTCTACTAAAAATACAAAAATTAGCCGAGCACGATGGTGCATCCCTGTAATCCCAGCTCCTATTCTGGAGGATGAAGCAGGAGAATGACTTCAACCCAGTAGGTGGAGGTTGCAGTGAGTGGAGATTGCATCACTGCACTCCAGCCTGGGGGACACAAGGAGACTCTATCTCAAAAAATAAAAATAAGAAATACATAAATATAATAAAACACACACGAATGACAAAGGCACCTGAATTCCAATCATCGTTTTTCTATTTCTCTATAATTACTTCTTTGATCCTTTATCTTATCCATTAGGCAATGAGCCTAAAACCTCTTCCCTATTTGGCTTTCTGTGAGCATGAGATCATATAGAAAATGTGAAAGCCCGCTGAATCCTCCAGCACAGATCCTGGAATAGAGAAAGTGCTCTGGTCATCACAAAAAAAACTTGCCCACTCACCCAAATCCCCCACCTCACCCCTACTTCCAATCACCTGTGGAGATTCAGATAGACCATGGGGAGGTAAACATTAACACTCCTTGGAGTGAGTCCAGATCTTGGAATCAGAGATCAGCGACAGCACTAGCTCCTGCTCCCCTTTCCTACTAATTCACAGGAGGACAGGTGGTTTTGAAGCAATAGATGGCCGAGGGGGTGGTCCTTCCCCCAGCCTCTCGGGTAGAACAGCAGCCTAATATGTGTCTCCCGAGATCACAAAGAGCAGCAGGTTTCACACGGGCTTCAACACTATTTCCTGGCCATTTGACATAAGAGAATTCTATTTCGCTTTTTTTATCTTGATTTCACTTTTGTTTTCTTTCCTTGGAGAATGCAAGTTGTTTGATTCAAGAATGCTGTGGATGTAGAAACCCTAAAGCACATTCGCTGTGAATCAATCCCAGTCCAGTCTTCCCAGAGAAGACTCTAAACACCTCCTGGACTGCACCTGGGCCTATGCCAATTCCTATCACTCACCGTCACTCCAGGGAGACAGAACACACAGAGAATACGTTACATAGGCAGGTTCATTACTAACAGATAAGCAGCGAGTGACAACAGAAACCTATATTTCAATGTGACCCAGTCCCTCAAGGCTCAGAAAAGCTCCTCGGGACATATGGAGTCACCCCATTTGCAGTGTAGCTGCGGGAAGCCAGAAAGCAGCCCAGCCTGGGTTTTGTACCCTGGAGCCACAGGAAGCACTCAGCTAAAGCACTGCATGACGTCCTCCAGGAAGAACAGGAAGACAGCCCAGGGTGTTCTGAGACGTTCCTCCTGATCTCAGGAAGTTGCTGTCTTAGGCCATTTTTGTTGCTCTAAAGGAACACTTGAGCCTCGGTAACTTCTAAAGAAAAGAGATTGGTTTGCCTCACCGTTCTGCAGGCTGTACTGGAAGCATGGCACCAGCATCTATTTCTCGTGACGGCCTCAGGCTGCTCCCACTCTGGCAGAAGGGAAGGAGGGTCTGTCTGTGCAGAGACCACAGAGATCACACGGCAAGAGAGGGAGCAAGGGGGAGGGGGAGTGATGGAGCTTCCAAGCTCTTTTTAACAACCAGCTCTCCGGGAACTAATAGAGGGGGAACTTGCTAACCCCGTCTCCTTGGGACAGCATTGATGTGTTCATGATGGATCCACCTCCATGACCCAAACACCTCTCAAGAGGCCCAACCTCCCACAGTGGGGGTGAAATTTCAATGTGAGGTTTGAAGGGGTCAAACATCTCAACTAAAGTAGTCGTATCCTCAGCACGTTCTATGGTTACTATGAGAGCTATAACTGAAAAAGCAGGAGAAAGCTGGGTCTCCTGCCATCTGGGTGCTTGTCCTAAAGAGGTGTTTTATGTGGTTACCTGTCAATCAAGAAATGCGAGACAATTCATAAAGAGGAACTGCTAAGATTAGCTTCTTATTGGTGTCTCATCTTCTTCCAGGTAACCCCCGACACCTGCACATTCTGATTGGGACCTCAGTGGTCATCATCCTCTTCATCCTCCTCTTCTTTCTCCTTCATCGCTGGTGCTCCAACAAAAAAAGTAAGTCTCACGAAGCAGAGGCCAGAGAGCTCAGGGCCATGTGGGGAAGCAGGATGGGAGCACTCAGGTGTGTGTTCCTCACAAACAGGATGGTCCCTGGCCCAAGGCAGCAGCCACAGAGGCAGGACTTTCTAGAGAGGGCACCAGACTCCCTGTCCCTGCCTTCAACTCACAGACCGTTGCCTGATTCTGAACTGTATCCCCATGTCCCCTGCAGCCACTCACATCCAGGAGAAGGTTCCATGACAGGCAGAAAGTGGGAGACAGAATCAATGGGATGGGAACTCAGAGCTATTCATGGGATGGGTCCTTGAGCTCAGAGAGATAGAATGTCTGAGTCTGCTGTTGGCAACTGAGGGACCTCAGCCACCTATGGTCTCCCCCTGTATGTTGGTATCTGCTTATGAAATGAGGACCCAGAAGTGCCCTCCGAGCTGTTTTGTTGACTTCCATCTTCTACAGATGCTGCGGTAATGGACCAAGAGTCTGCAGGAAACAGAACAGCGAATAGCGAGGTAGGTACTCCTCGGCCCGGGCTCGTGGCTACTGTTATTCCCAAAGAGTCCTGGAAAATGTGAGCACCCTCCCTCACTCAGCATTTCCCTCTCTCCAGGACTCTGATGAACAAGACCCTCAGGAGGTGACATACACACAGTTGAATCACTGCGTTTTCACACAGAGAAAAATCACTCGCCCTTCTCAGAGGCCCAAGACACCCCCAACAGATATCATCGTGTACACGGAACTTCCAAATGCTGAGTCCAGATCCAAAGTTGTCTCCTGCCCATGAGCACCACAGTCAGGCCTTGAGGGCGTCTTCTAGGGAGACAACAGCCCTGTCTCAAAACCGGGTTGCCAGCTCCCATGTACCAGCAGCTGGAATCTGAAGGCGTGAGTCTGCATCTTAGGGCATCGATCTTCCTCACACCACAAATCTGAATGTGCCTCTCACTTGCTTACAAATGTCTAAGGTCCCCACTGCCTGCTGGAGAAAAAACACACCCCTTTGCTTAACCCACAGTTCTCCATTTCACTTGACCCCTGCCCACCTCTCCAACCTAACTGGCTTACTTCCTAGTCTACTTGAGGCTGCAATCACACTGAGGAACTCACAATTCCAAACATACAAGAGGCTCCCTCTTAACGCAGCACTTAGACACGTGTTGTTCCACCTTCCCTCATGCTGTTCCACCTCCCCTCAGACTAGCTTTCAGTCTTCTGTCAGCAGTAAAACTTATATATTTTTTAAAATAACTTCAATGTAGTTTTCCATCCTTCAAATAAACATGTCTGCCCCCATGGTTTCGGTAATGGGACTCTTTTCTTGCCTAAGGCTTCCGGTGTTATCAGTACCATGTCCATATAATCCCATCTGTTCCCCACTGAGTTCTCATCCCCGGACTCTGAGTTTCTGGAAGCAGGGTGGAGCCTCATTTGTCTCTGGGACTCCAATTTCCATCCAAAGATGTAGCACATAGGAGGTTCCAAGGATCACGAATCATATGAACAAGTGATACTCTTACTCTCTGCAGACCTGGAAAGCTGGCAGAGTCATTCCACAATGAAACATTTGTAGAATCATAGGCCTTGTTAGTCTCATCTCCATGGGGACACATATCAACACATCATCTTTCATAATATAAATATACGGTCACTCCTCCATATCTGCGGGGTTTACAGGTGTTTATTGAACCAAGTATAAATCAAAAATATTGAGAGAAAGTATCCACAGAGTTTCAAAAAGCATAACTATGTTGAATGGACACAAATGAAGCTGTGTGTAGGCTGTATCAGGAATTATAAGTAATCTAGAGATGATTTCATGTATACAGGAGGATGTGCATAGGTTATTTGCAAACGCTGTGCCATTTCATATAAGAGGCTTGAGCATCTACAGATTTTGGTATCTGAGTGGAGATCTCAAAACCAATCACCCACGAATAGTGAAGGATGACCGTATATGACTTTTATTTCTCAAATTTAAATATAAATCATAAAAAATGTACAACTAGATAAAAACTAAGAAGTGTTTTTATAGTGTGAGTTAGATTTATTTTTTCCTAGGTGTAACCAATTGGTTTAATATTATTTATTGAGAAGACATTCTATGCCACCTTAAACCACACGGCAGCCTTTGTCAACTCTAAAGGGACTGTGTGTACATGGATGTATTTTAGACACTGTTTCTGCTAAGGGGCTCTCTGTGTCCACACTCTTGATGATGCTGCACTTTATGTAGCCTTATAGAACCCTTTAAATTTAGTAGCCAGAGCCCTCTAATTTGTTATTATAGGCTGTTTGCTTTTTTTTTCTTGAGGCGGAGTCTTGCTCTGTCGCCCAGGCTGGACTGCAGTGGCACAATCTCAGCTCACTGCAACCTCCGCCTCCCAGGTTCAAGCGATTCTCGTGCCTCAGCCTCTTGAGTAGCTGGCGTTACAGGTGCCTGCCACCAGGCACGGCTAATTTTTGGATTTTTAACAGAGACACGGTTTCACTATATTGGCCAGGCTGCTCTCAAACTCCTTATCTCAGTTGATCCGCCCACCTCGGCTTCCCAACGTGCTGGGGAAAACTTGATTTTCTATAGCATTATGTTACTGGATATTTCTGTAAAATTTAAAACGAGGGAGGGAGAGAGACAGACAGAGAGCAAACTCCAGAGTTGGGACTCTGGAATCTTGGGTCATGAGACAAATTTTAGATTAAACTACAAAACTCCAGAATTTACAGGTGTGGTTTTTGCTGATAAAGTACAATTCTAAGATTGTAAATAATTGCATAATCCTTCCCTGGGAATTTAAATCATTTTAGCTGGTTCTGCTGTAATACTAGAAATACAAGCATGAAAAATTCTAATGGTTTATTAGTCACAATGACTCCGAAAACATTAATAATACCTATTAGATACTTTGCATATTACACAGGAAGAAGAGTTTGAATCTCAGATAAAAACAAAAAAAATACATGAAAAGTCTTTCATGTTAGCACAGATTTTAGGCATCTCGTGTTCGGATAAAAATACATGAAAAGTCTTTCACGTTAGCACAGATTTTAGGCATCTTGTGTTCGGGAGGTTGGATCTGAGACGTGTTGTGAGTTGGTCATAGTGAAGGACGTGAGGTGCCAATTCTAGTGAGAACAATTTCCAGGAAGCCGTGTTCCGCTCTTGAGCAAGCATCCACTGGGCCTCATGCAAGGTAGAAAGAGCCTGCGTACGTCACCCTCCCATGATGTAGTCAACATGTAAGCTGCATGGGCAGGGCGCCAAATAACATCCTGTGCGCTGCTGAGCTGAGCTGGGGCGCGGCCGCCTGTCTGCACCGGCAGCACCATGTCGCTCATGGTCGTCAGCATGGCGTGTGTTGGTGAGTCCTGGAAAGGAATAGAGGGAGGGAGTGCCACATCCTCCTCTCTAAGGTGGCGCCTCCTTCTCCCCCAGGTGGTCAGGACAAGCCCTTCCTCTCTGCCTGGCCCAGCCCTGTGGTGTCTGAAGGAGAACATGTGGCTCTTCAGTGTCGCTCTCGTCTTGGGTTTAACGAATTCAGTCTGTCCAAAGAAGACGGGATGCCTGTCCCTGAGCTCTACAACAGAGTATTCCGAAACACCGTTTTCATAGGCCCTGTGACCCCAGCACATGCAGGGACCTACAGATGTCGGGGTTCACACCCACACTTCCTCACTGGGTGGTCAGCACCCAGCAACCCCCTGGTGATCATGGTCACAGGTCAGAGGGCTCCTGTCTGGGATTCTCCTTGTCCCACCTCCTGAGTCCCAGAGCTTCTGGTGGGAGTGTCCACCAGCGTCCCATCATCCAGACCCTAACTGTATTTGGGGTAAAAGGGGATTGAATACAGGGAAATGGGTGCTGTGGTGGAAAGAATAATTGTCCCCAATGATGACTGCATTCTAATCCCTGCAGTCTGTGACTATTTATGTTATAGGGGAAGGCACTGAAGGGGAAGATGGAGCTCAGGTTGTTGAGTTGACCTTGAGATGGGGAGACAGCCTGGACTGTCCTGCTGGGCTCAGTGTAATCACAAGGGTGCACATGAGAGGAGAAGGAAGAGGGGAGTGGCGATTAGAGCAGTGCAATGGAAGTCTCCATCAGCTTTGAAGGTGGAGGAAGGCCATGAGCCATGAATGCAGGTGGCCTATAGAGGCTGGAAAAGTCAAGGAACTGATTCTCCTGGGTCTCCAGAGGGAACGCAGCCCTGCAGATGCCTTGATTTTAGCCCTCAAAAAACAGGGTCCGATTTCTGTCTCCAGAAACGGAAGGGGTCAGTGTGCTCTCTCCTGCTGCCATGCTTCTGATAATTTTCCACAGCACCAACAGGAAACCAACACTGGAACCCAGGTCAAGGACAAGATAAGAAAGGACACAAGGATAGCCGGGCGTGGTGGCAGGTGCATGTAATCCTAGCAACTCAGGAGGCTGAGGGCAGGAGAATCACTTGAACCCAGGAGACAGAGGTTGCAGTGAGCCTAGACCACACCACTTCACTCCAGCCTGGGTGAAGGAGTGAGACTCTGACTCCAAAATTAATTAATTAATTAAAGAAACCAAACAAAGAGAAGGTTGGCTACACCGAGATCAGCAAGGGTGGGATGATGATGCCACCACCAGGCTCCATCCACATAGGGAGGGGTTGATACTCCTCAAACCAGCACCAGAAGCCAGCCTATGGAAGCTGGCACCATGGAGAAGGCACAGGCATGGCAAGAGTGGCTCCCAGTCCCCACCAGGAACAGGGTGTGTGGACACTGGTGCCTGCCTTACTGATCAGTTCATACCTTCTGCCAAGGATTCCAATTCGTCCAAAAGAGATTGAACCAGTCTGCTAAGAGCCTGGACGTGCAGCCTATCCTGGTTCCTCTTCCACCCCCACATAGAAGCAGGAAAGACATTAGTTCGAAATAGATACAACAGCCCAAGAGATGAGGCTGAGCCCAGCGGCAAGGGAATCAGGAGCTACTAGAGACAGAGGGACAGAGAAGAGGGAGGGAGACAGATGGAAGGACCTGTACCAGGAGTTATGGGCACAGAAAAGAACATGAAGACACAGAGAGGAAGGAGAGAGATAAGACACCAGCGAGGGGAAGCCTCACTCATTCTAGGTGCCATGGATGGGATGATAAAGAGAGATGCCTTCTAAAGTCACAACCTCTCTTCCTAGGAGTCCACAGAAAACCTTCCCTCCTGGCCCACCCAGGTCCCCTGGTGAAATCAGAAGAGACAGTCATCCTGCAATGTTGGTCAGATGTCATGTTTGAGCACTTCCTTCTGCACAGAGAGGGGAAGTTTAATGACACTTTGCGCCTCACTGGAGAGCTCCATGATGGGGTCTCCAAGGCCAACTTCTCCATCGGTCGCATGACGCAAGACCTTGCAGGGACCTACAGATGCTACGGTTCTGTTCCTCATTCCCCCTATCAGTTGTCAGCTCCCAGTGACCCTCTGGACATCGTGATTACAGGTGAGAGTGTCTGGACATTATTCTCATTGTCACTGGGACACAGAGTGAATGATCCACGACTTGGAGGCCCAGGTGGTTATAAGGAAGATGAGCTTGGTATTCTTATGGAGAGAGACTAACTTGGTGAGGTCTGTACCAACAGAGACAGAGAAACAGGAGACACAAGTACAGACCAGGTGTCATAACAGAGGACAGACACAGGGGCCATACAGGGAGTTAGAAAAGACAGAAAGAGTTAAAGGAGACACAGACAGACATGTGCCAGAGAGAGGTGTCCTTCCATGCTGACTTTGCTCAGAGACCTGGCACAGGTTAGAAGTTTCATTTCTGTTTTACTTCCACAAAGTGTTCTCTACCAGAAGAACCCAAGGACACCCATATTTCTGGCCTGAGTTGGGCCCTGTGGCCTCAGGCCTTCTGGCACCTACAGATGCCGTGTTTATTCTGACACCTCTGCCTTCCATGCAATGGAGAGTAATCGTCCCAGGATATCATGGCCCCAGAACATCAACCCCTGTATACTGTGTGAACTTGCGGTCCCCAGACTGGATTCTGAGGCTCACATTCCAAATAACCCCACATATGAGAGGATCACTGAGAGACACAGAGAGAAATCAGGGACACCAAAAAGCAAAGACATAAACACACAGAGAATGAGCCAGAGGAAGGAGATTGAGAGACTCACAGACACATAAAGAGGGAGAAAAGAGGGCAGAGAAGTGGAGAGAACAATGGAAGGGAACAGAGAAAAGCACTAAAATTAGAGTCCTGAGGGAGAGACACAAGGACATAGAAAGATGGAGATGTGGGGATGAATTGCAGAGATTCCAAAGAGAACTAGAGAGACCGAGAGGCAGAGCAAGACAGATGATAGATGGATAGATATAGATAGATGATAAATAGGTAGATGATAGATAATAGGTTATAGATACATAGATGATGATTGATTCATTCATTGATTAATCGATGATACATAGAGATGATGAAGATGAAGATAGATAGATAATACATAGAGATAGAGAGGCAGACAAAGAGAAATCATAGAGAGAGAGAGACGATACATAGATATAGATAATAGATGATTTTTGGATAGACAATTGATAGATAAATAGATTATATATAGATATAGATGACAGGTAGAGAATTTGTAGATAGGCACCAAATAGATAAATAGATATATCGATAGATAATAGATAGAAATATGCAGAAAGTTATGAACAGGACACAAAGTGAGAAACTCAGAATTTAAAAAAAGTAACATCAAGTCAACTAGTCCAAGGAGAGTCAGAGAGAATAAAACAATCCAAAAAGGGAAAACATATCTAGAGGTGAGAAAGTGAGGTCAGAGACCTAGAGAGACAGAGAAGGTGGAAAGAGGAAATAGACATAAAGAGAGATGGTGTGGAGGGTGAGACAGAGAGAGAGAGCATTAGGCCATAGAGCAGGGGAGTGAGTTCTCAGCTCAGGTGGGAGGGGAGTTGTGACAAGGAAGAACCTCCCTGAGGAAACTGCCTCTTCTCCTTCCAGGTCTATGTGGGAAACCTTCTCTCTCAGCCCAGCCGCGCCCCATGGTTAAGGCAGGAGAGAGCGTGACCTTGTCCTGCAGCTCCCGGAGCTCCTATGACATCTACCATCTATCAAGGGAGGGGGAGGCTCATGAACTTAGGTTCCCTGCAGTGCCCAAGGTCAATGGAACCTTCCAGGCCAACTTTCCTCTGGGCCCTGCCACCCACGGAGGGACCTACAGATGCTTCGGCTCTTTCCGTGACTCTCCCTACGAGTGGTCAGACCTTAGTGACCCACTGCTTGTTTCTGTCACAGGTGAGGAAACCAGTCTGTTCCCCAAATAGTGGGACTCAGACGGACTACAATGGCCACATTCAGGGGAGCCTCAGATGGAGGGGGTGGCCATGGGGGTGTCAGCCAGAGATGCTGGACAGAAGAGACACAAAGCAAACATACAGAAAGAGGCATAGACAGACAGACAGAGCGAGGCAGACAGATCACATTAGGGTTTGGGGTGGTAACTGCAACCCTACCTGAAGCTTGCAGATAGAGCACAGGCCACATAAACCACTTCCCAGTCTTTGTACAGAAGCCCACCTGGGACACATGTAAACAGCATCAATGCTGACTCAGGAGCATGAAAGGCCGGGCTCAGATTGGAAAGACTAGAGGTTAGCATTGGCCGCCCGCCATTGCCCATTTCCAGAAGCCCCCACCTCTCACCAAAGAGTGATTTCCACATGGGGGGCACAGATGCAACCATCGTTGGGGGAGCCCCAATGTCTCTTGATGGGAGGCATTTTCCACCCTAGATGTTTTTTGCTCTCTCCACACCTTGGAGACTCAGTGGGGGAGTCTTCTCTGGGGACTCGGGGAGGGCCTCCCTGGGACTCGCAGGATTTCCAAGCTAGATGACAACATGACAGGTGGAAACAGGCCCATTCCTTCGCCAGGGGCCCCAAGCTCCATCCCAGGAGATGAGAAGAGGCTCTTCTCATTGGTCAGTGGATCCCTGAGGGGACAGAGGCTCAGCACTGAAGGCTGAGAAGGATCTGCCACTTCGCTCAGTGGCCTCAAGCCAGACATCTTCCCTACAGACTTGCAGTGATTCTCCATCAGCATTTAGGGCTGTGGCCACCAACCTGGGTGTTGGTCTGTAGGAACTTTTCATTTCTGACCTTCCATAACTGAGTTCTCTTCCTAAATGTGGAATGCCTTGTACTCCATGTTACTCTCTCCCCAGAAAGAATGTGTGGCTTGTCTGCTCTCCAGCCCTGTCATGGAGATTGATAATCCTTAGGGAGCAAGAGGAGAGGGAAAGAACAAAGTATGAGACCACCTAGGTGCTACTGGTTGAGGTTCCATTTGCCAGTGAAGGGACTTCACTCAGCCGAGGGGGCAACTCAGGGAAGTCAGCCGAGGGAGGGCATTAGAGTAGAGAGAACTGAGCTCACCCAGTAAATGACCCCTTCACTAACTCATTCATCTAATATTTATTTCACACCTACCATCAGTTCTCTCTGTTTCATGGCCAGGAGTAGACAGCACGGCCAAGCTCCTGGGTTCATGATGCTCACATTGCTGTGGGGTGGGAGAGAGAGGCAGAACATGAATGAATGAATGAGAGAATGAATGAATGAGTGAATGATGGAATGAGTGAATGAATGAATGAATGAATGTATGAATTAGTGAGTGAATCCTTAGCACTTGGTGAAAGTGCCATGCACAGAATGAAATGAATGAACGTGGAACGTTGTCATTTGGAGTGTACAGGAGGGAACGTCTCACTGAGACCTCATCAGAGAGATCACATTTAAACTCCGATCTTAGAGACAAGAGGGAGTGAGCCCTGGGGAGTGTATTGAAAGGAACTTTCATGGACTTAGGACATTGGGGATGACCCTAATGTGAGAATGAGCTTGGTGTGTTCCAAGAAGTCCATGGACCTGCCATATGGTGAGGGCTGGTCAGAATCCAGAGAGATTTCTAAATGCCCTTGTGCTTGTAAGGAAAGTGAGTCCTGTGGTTGGGAGTGGACTTATACCTTGGGTCAGGTCCAGCAATTATCTTTCTAAATCCTCTCTAATTGCCTGAACCACTTCTATCAACAACTGAGAAAAGAGGAGTGTTAAACACCCCACTGTGGCCGTGGATTTGCCTACCTGTCCATTTATTTCCGCGACTCTTCCTCCATGTATATTTGCAGGAATATTACTGGGAGTGGTTAAGTGTAAACTGATTATATATTCCTGGTAAATTTAAAATGCTATAAATTTACCTGCTTTTTTCCTACATTTTATGCTTAATGTTTTCCGCTGATTTTTCCCAAAGACTAATTTTGTCTAATTTTAATATAGTTATACCACATTTCTAACAGTGATTGCTTGGTATATTTCTACATTGTTTAATTTCAAACTCCATGAATTGTTAACATTGAGATGTGTCCTTTGTAAATTTCAAACAATTCGCCTTAGAAAGTAAGACTTTCTGACAATCTTTTGTTCATGTTTGAGCAGTTCTTCCAATCATATTTTTGTTATTATTACGTTGTGTTTTCCTGATTCCCTTTTTTTCCCACTGACTTCTGTGGTTTTCTATTTCAAACATTCTATTTTTGATCTATGTCGTTTAGGAATACATATATGGTGTACTCATCCTGAAGTTGTTACATATTTTTAAAATTGAAATTAATCATTTCAGAGATTAAACTGCAAATATAAAAACATATTTCCACTCTTCCTGTGTAAGAACAGGATTTTAGAGCATATTTAGTACATATGTTTGTATTTACTTATATGATGTTTTGTTTTGTGGTATACATAATTCTATCTTTTTCAGAAATTACACAGGGGCGTGTTTTCATACACTATCGTATGGTCCATATTCATTTTTGGCATAGCCATATTTTTAGTTCTTCCTCTGCTCTTAGTTATTGTCAGAATCTTCGACACCCCATCTGGTTTCACTTTCTTTATCTTTGAGGCACGGTCATCAGAATTTCCTTTAGGGTCAGTGAGAAAAGCTTTCTTTGCCCTTTTGTCTTTCAGTTCTGTTTCTTTCCTGCGTTGATCTTGGACAGTAACTGTACTATGTAAGGAATTGTCGGTGGCTGGCGACGGTATCTTAGCTGGGTAAAGATGCTATTCTACTGGCTTATGTTTTCCTTTTTTCTGTGGGGAAGACAATGCTTGGCTCCCTATAAATCCTTACCAGCTGATCCTTTTCCTCTGGCTAATTTTAAGGGTTGGTTGTGCTTTTATGCTGCTTTTCTGTAATGTTGAACGTGAGGTGTGTTTACTTCATTCTGCCTGGCATTCACTGGATTTCTTGAACCTGTGGATTGATGGATGTGTCTACTTCCTCCAAATAATCAACAATTGCCTCTTTAAAGATTGCTTCTGACCTGTTTTCTCGTTCTTTCTTTTTGGAACTCAAGTTAGGAGCATTCTAAAACTGTTGTCAATTTTTACCCTGTCACAAAACTGCTCTTTCTTGTTTCAGTTATTTGCTTTTTCTGTGCATTAATATTGATGGTTTCCTCTGTCATAGAGGATAAATACTCTCTTCACTGTTGTGTACACAACATTTTAACTAGTTATTCTGGTTTAAATTTAATATTGACTTTATCTACATATCACAATTGATTACTGTGTACAGACTTTCTTTTCTATTAGTATAAATTTATGAGGTACACTTGTAATTTTGTGACATGAATATGTTGCAGAGTAGTGAAGTCAGGACTTTTACTATATCCATCACCCAAATACCGTACATTGTACTCATTAAGCAAATTCTCATCACTCACCCACGTCCCGCCACCCTCCAGCCTTCTAGCCTCCGCTGTCCGTCATTCCACACTCTACGTCCATATGTACACATTACTCCCCTCCCATGTAGAGTGAGAAGATGTGGTATTTGTCTTTCTGAGTGGTTTTATGTAAAATAATGGCGTCCAGCTCCATCTATGTTGCTGCAAAAGACATGGTTTTATTTTTATGACCAAATAGTATTTCGTTGTGTATACACGCATCCTTTTTTTAATCCAATCATTCATTCACAGACACTTAGATTGATTTCATATCTTTGCTATTGCAAACAGTGCTGCAATAAACATACAGGTGCAGATATTTTTTGAGTAGATACCCAGCAGCGGGACCCCTAGATCGAATGGTGCTTCTATTTTTGGTTCTCTGCCAAATTTCCATACTGTCTTCCATAGAGGCTATACTAATTTACATACCGGCCAACAGTGTATAAGAGTTTCCTTTTCTCTGCATCCTTGCCAACACCTGTTATATGTTTCACTTTTTCTTTTTTTCTTTTTGAGATGGAGTCTTCCACTGTCACCCAGGCTGGAGTGCAGTGCCGCCATCTCCACGCGCTGCAACCTCCACCAACCAGGTTCAAATGATTCTCCTGCCTCAGCCTCCTGAGTAGCTGGGATTACAGAACCACACCACCATGCCCAGCTAATCTTTTGTATATTTAGTAGAGATGGGGTTTCACTATGTTGGTCAGGCTGGTCTCAAACTCCTGACCTCATGATCCACCCGCCTCAGCTTCCCAAAGTGCTGGGATTACAAGCGTGAGCCACCACTCCCCACCAGCATTTTTAGTAATAGCCATTCTGACTACTGTAAGATGATATCTCATTGTGGTTTCAATTTGCATTTCTCTGATGATTAGTGATGTTCATACGCTGTTTGGCCATTCGTATGTCTTCTTTTGAAAAATGTCTATGTATATCCCTTTGCCCACTTTTTAATGCTATTATTTGAGGGGTTATGTTTAGTTGTTTGAGTTGCCTAGAAATTCTGGATGTTAGTCCTCTGTTGGGTGCATAGTTTGCAAACATTTCCATTCATTCTGTGGGTTGTCTGTTCACCCTGCTACTATTTCCTTTGCTTGGCAGAAGCTCTTTCGTTTATTAAGTCCCATTGGTCTAGTTTTATTTTTATTGCCTGTGCTTTTGAGGTCTTAGTGATGAATTCTTTGCCCAGACCAATGCCCAGAAGAGTTTCTCTTTGGGTTTCCACCGGTGATTTTATAGTTCTGGATTTACATTTAAGCTGCTAATTACCTTAAGTTAATTTATGTGTATGATTACAGATACAGGTCCAGTTTTATTCTTCTGCATATGGCTATTTAGTTTTCCCAGCACCTTTTATTGAAAAGGAAATCTTTCTCCAGTGTATGTTTTGTTAACGTCGTCAATGATTATTCACTGTAGATATGAGGCTGTATTTCTGGGCTCTCTATTCTGGTCTATTGATCTCTGTTTCTGTGTCTATACCAGCACTGTGCTATTTAAGTTACTATAGCCTTAGAGCATAGTTTGAAGTCAGATAGCGTGATGCCTCCAGGTTTCTACATTCACCTAGAATTGCTTTCTCTATTAGGATCTTTTTTGGTTCTGTATGAATTTTAGGATTGCTTTTTCTAATTCTGTGAAAACTGGTGTTACTATTTTCATATAAGAATTGCACTGAATCTGTAGATTGCTTTAGGCAGTATGGTCATTTTAACAATATTAATTCTTATGATCCATGAGCGTGGGATTTTTTTTCTTTTTTTTTTTTGTATTATCTATAATTGCTTTCATTGGTGTCTTACACCTTTCCTGGTACAGATCTTTCACCACCTTGGTTAAATGTATTCCTGAGTGTTTTAATTTTGCGTATCTATTGTAAACGGCATTGCCTTCTTGATTTGGTTCTCAGCTAGATCATTATAGGTGTAGAGAAATGCTACCGGCTTTTACATATTGATTTTGTATTCTGAAACTTTACTTAGTTCATTTATCAATCATAAGAATTTTTGGCAGGGTCTTTAGGATTTTCTAGATTTAAGATCATAGCATCAGAAATAAAAATAATTTTACTTCCTCTTTTCTAATTTGGATTTTTAATTCTTCCTGTTGCCCAATAGCTCTGACAAGGCTTCCAGTACTATGTTGATAGGAAGTGGTGGATGTCCGTGTCCTTGTCTTGTGCCAGTTCTCAGAGGAGTGCTTTTAACTTTTCCTGTTCAGTATGATGTTGACTCTAGATATGTCATCTATGGCTTTTATTATTTTGAGGTATGTTCTTTCTATGCCTAAGTTTTTGAGGGTTTTCATCAGGTAAGGATGTTGAATTTCTTTTCAGATGCTTTTCTTTATGTCTATTGAGATGATCATATGGTTTTTGTTCTGGATTCTGCTCGTTCTTCTAAGTGGATGAGACATGCCAGAAAAGCATTTAGTCAGCCATCTTGGAAACAAACATCTCAGATGTTTTCTTTCTCTATAGCTCATTCTTTCTTACCAGTGTTTTCAATTTTGTACTTAATTTTGTAAAGAGAGTAAATGATATAATTTCCACATATGTTTCCTCTGCCAAATCAGACTCACTATGCTTCCTTTCCTTGTATGCATAACCTACCCAGCAATACACACAAACATTTATTGCTTTGGAGAATTAGTTTGGGAACATTTTTGAAATGTACAAAAAAATGTATATCTTCAAAAGAAATTTCTTTTTGTGGCAAAAGACTTCTGAAGGTGCTCATGATGATATAGGGAGAAGAGGGGTTCTGGACAGGAAGAATTTTATGAAGGTGAGATGGGGAAATAGCTCCATTTCAGAGCTTCTGGGGAGAGAGGGGCCTGGCCCACATGGAAAGGTCTCTGATCTTACCCCCACCCTCCAGCCCCTGTTCTCCAGAACTATACTGTGGAGAGTTCCATCAGGATTGTTGTGGCTGGTCTGGTCTTCCTGGCTCTTTTGGCAATGCTGGCTAAGACCTGGTGGAGACATGAGGGGCCACAGGTGGAAATGGAAGAAACATGACTGAAGCTGGCTGGAGTGAATGGCGCGACATTCTGTCTGTGGGAGATTGGCCAGATGGGTTTCAAGTGTGTTGTATCAGCTGTGACTTTTAGTAATGTTCTTGCTACCACAATATCCACTCGTCCATCCCGAATAATTGTGATGAAATATTGTCCTTGGGATAATATTCATTTGCTAAAGACAGGGATGATACCTCAAGGTGCCACTATATACATCGAGGGGATCCACAAAAGTCCATTCAGTAAAATGTAGTTGGCATCTTAGGGTAGGTTGATTCCACCTCTAAAAAAGTAGGTACAACATCAGGTTGATTTTTCCGAAGAAAAGTGGTGATTGGCCATCTTTAGTCTCAATGTAAACGGTAATACTGATGAGTGTGGAAAAGGCAGGGAAGAGGATTGACAATAAGTGACACTCATTGTTTTCATCTGAGCTTTGAGACTGAAAGAGGAACACAGGAGTGAGATGTATGGGAACAAACCCCTTCTTTTTCCAGCTAAACAGAGTGGAAGTTGGACACTGAGTTTTGGCGTACAGCAAAATCCTAAGTCCATTGTTGGGTTGAACACGGCCATGTTGTACATCCTGGTTTCACAGCAGACACTGGAGGAAAACAGCCTGTATTCATAAGAGGCTGTCCCTCGGGTCACTGCCCAGAATATCCGGAGTTGGTGCTCACAGGGTTGGGAACTCTCCTGGACCAGACAGGCTCTGGATATGGGGGGGTACCAAGCTCCCCGGGGCCATGCCTCCACAGCTCTCTTCTCACCTCATTCTTGACCATTTCCCAAACCTCTGACCTCACCTTCATTCATCCATGGTGAACACGCTAAAGCTGGCCTTCAAAGCTTGAGACAGAGGAAAATTGGGCTTCATCTCTGGGAACTAAATTGGGGAGTGGAGACTCAGTTCTGGCCTGACAGGAGGGAGAAGACCCTGGATCCCAGTGTGGATGGGAAGAAGTATGTGTTTCTCTTTTGTGCTTGGACCCTGTGTCCAAGCATGTCTGAGATGTGATGAAGATGAATCTTCCTTTCCTTGTCTATTTTCTCATGCCAGAGAATTGGAATCTTATATTCCATTAACTCTTTCTGTTCTGTTCATCCAGATTCTATGAAGGAGAAAGGAAAAGATGTGATACTGTAATTTTGCTCCATTTGTCTAAAATGAGTAGGCTGCAACTCCTCTTGAAGTGATACCTTTTCTAGCTCTTGTTGGAGGTGTCTCAGGACTCATTACTTCGGGGAACCTGCAACTGTGTCAGTCTGGGGAAACTGCAAATATTCTTGTCTTACATTTGTCTCCAGCCAATTGTGATGGACTCCAGTGACCTGCAATTGCTGTTATTGCAGGTAAAATGTACCTGAGTCAGGCCACAGTTCTCCTGGACTATGAGCCCCTGGCCATGTTCCTGAGGCAATTCTGTTCATCTAAATATAATAATAATAACACACTAAAAATGGCAAGCCATTGTTAATTCCTGAAGTCTCATTTGAAAATTACTAAATGTCTGTTATTTTTTGGTGTTTACATTATATGTAGACAGATAAACTACACACACACACACACACACATGCACACAGAAGAATGGATTGGTTCATGTAGAAAAGTAAATAATTCAAGATGAAAGGATGAAATGTCATGGCACCTACTATTCTATTTTAGATAAAGGGTCTATGAAAAGATTGATTTCTTTTTATGTTTTATTTGTTGACATTTGAACACAAACTATGTAAGTGAGGGAGTCGATTTGAAAGGGAGAAGAGCAAGTTCAAACACATTCAGGTGAGGTCATGCTTTACATGTTTTAATTGAAATGATCCATCTTGGGAGTAGATCAATAACTGAGATGGTGCCAGGAATGTTAAAAAGCTTTTGTCAGTCCTAAATATTGACAAATAAAATTTAATTAAAGTCTTAGAAGAAAACACAAAGGAAAACTTCACAACATCGGATTTGGCAGTGATTCTTTAGATGTGACAACAACGGCACAGGCTACTACAGAAAAAATAAACAAGTTAGACTTTATGAAAATTTTGAAATATTGTGACTCAAAAGACAACATCAGTTACTTCACATGGCAAGGAAAAAGAACTTTTAAGACGATATTATCAAAGTAAAAAGACAACCCACAGAATGGGAGAAAATGTTTTCAAACCACACCACCTGTAAGGGATTAACATCCAGAATATACAGACAACTCCTAAAACTCAATCACAATAAACTCAATTCAAAAATGGGCAAAGTACTGAAACAGACATTTCTCCAAAGAACATACGCATGAAAAGATATTCAGCATCACGAATCATTAGGGAAATACTAACTAAAACTACACCAGATGCCATTTCATACCCCTTAGGATGGGTATCATCAAAACAACAACAACAACAACAACAAAGTTTCTATACATTAACAACAAACTATCCAAAAAAGTTTACAAGAAAATAAGCCCATTTGCAATAACTACAGAAAACAAAACATGCAGGAATAAATTCACCCAAGGAGTAGAAAGATCTGTATGCAAAAGCTATAAAACATTGATGAAAAAACTCAAGAAATAAACAAATAAATCGAAAGATATTCCATGTTCACGGATCAGAAGGATTAATGTTGTTAAAATGTCCATTCTATCCAAAGTGATTCAATGCAACCATTATCAAAAATCCAATGACATTTTTTTTACAGAAATAGAAAAAACAGTCCTAAAATTCATGTGGAACCACAAAAGATCTCAAATAACCAAAGCCATCTAGAGGGAAAGGAACAAAGTTGGAAGCATCACATTACCTAAACACAAACTACATTACAAAATTACAGTAATTAAAACAACACAGTACTTGCATAAAAACAGACACATAGACCAATGGAAGTGATTCATAGCCCAGGAAAAAAATGCATGCATTTAGGGTCAAACAATTTTTGGGATGTGTCAAGAACACACAATGGAGAAGGAACAGTCTCTTTAATAAATGGGATTGGGAGACTGCATGTCCACATGCAGAAGAATGGAAGTGGACATTTGCCTCACAAAACATACAAAGTCAACTCAAGATAGATTAATGACTTAAATGTAAGATGAAAGACTATAATCCCAGCAATTTGGGAGGCCAAGGTGGGCAGATCACCTAAGGTCAGGATTCCAAGACCAGCATGGCCAACATGGTGAAATCCCGCCTCTACTAAAAATACAAAAACAGCTGGGTGTGGTTGTGGGTGCCTGTAATCTCAGCTACTCGGGAGGTTGAGACAGGAGAATCACTTGAACCCAGGAGGTAGAGGTTGCAGTGAGCCGAGATCGCACCACTGCACTCCAGCCGGGGCAACACAGTGAGACTCCATCTTAAAAAAAAAAAAAAAACTACTAAAAGAAATCAAGGGAAAACTCCACTGGCTTGGGCAAAACCATTTTGGATATTAACCCAAAGGCCCAGGCAACAAAAGCAAAAGTAGACAAATAACATTATATCAAATTGAAAGTTTCTGCAAAGAAAAAAAAAACTCAACAAGTGGAAAGACAACCTATGGAATGGGAGAATATATTTGCACCCATACATCTAATAAGGAATTAATATCCAAAATATATAAGAAACTCAAACAACTCAATGGTAAGAAATCAAATAACCCAACTTAAAAAAATGGGCAAAGTATCTGAATAAACATTTCTAAGAATAAGACAAATCACCAAAAGGTATATGAAAAAATGATTAGCATTACTAAACATCAGCTAAATAAAAATTAAAACTAGAATGAGATATCACCTCACACCTCTTAGAATGACCATTAACAGTCTGGGCATGGTGGCTCATGCCTGTAATTCAGGCACTTTGGGAGGCCGAGGCAGGGAGATTACCTGAGGTCAGCAGTTCGAAACCAGCCTGGCCAATATGGTGAAACCCCATCCCTACTAAAAATACAAAAATTAGCAGAGTTTGGTGGCGCACACTTGTAGTCCCAGCTACTCTGGAGACTGAGGCAGGGGAATCGCTTGAACCCAGGAGGCAGAGGTTGCAGTACACCGAGATTGTGCCACTGCACTCCAGCCTGGGTGACAGAGCAAGACTGAGTCTCAAAAAAAAAAAAAAAAAAAAGACCATTATCAAAAACATAAAAAATAACAAGGGTTAACGAGGATGTGGAGAAAAGGGAACATTTGTATGCAGTTGATGGGAATGTAAATTAGCATAACCATTATGGAAAACAGTCTGGAAGTTCCTGAAAAAATTAAACATAGAATTCCCATATGTGTCTGCAATCCAACTACTGCGCATGTATCCAAAGGAAGTGGAATCAGTATGTTGAAGAGATATCTGCATTCCCATGTTTACAGCCGCATTATTCATAACAGCCAAGATGTGGAATCACCCTTACTGCCCATCTATGGGTGCATGGACAAAGAAAACGTGGTATACGATAGGAACGTAATGAAGTACTATACAACCTTTACAACAAAGAAGGAAGTCCTCTCATTTGTGACAATGTGAAAAAACTTAGAGGACATTATGTTAAGGGAAACAATCCAGGCACAGAAAGACAAATGCCACATGATCTCATGTGTGGAGTGTAAGAAGTGGAACCTAGAGGAACAGTAAAATGGTCGTCGAAAGAACCTGGGATGGAGAGAGATTGAAGAGATGTTGGTCAAAGGATGCAAAATTTCAGTTAGAAGAAATCGGTTCAAGAGATCTATTGTATGTCTTGGTGACTCCAGTTAATAGCAACATATGGTGTATTGAACATTACTAAGAGATTAGATTTTACATGTTCTCACCACACACACAAAACATACAAGTATGTGAAAAAATAAATATGATAAAGAGGTTGTTTCATCCATTCCACAATGTGTACCTATATGAAAACATCATGATGGACACCACAAATACCCTTTTCCTCATTAATTAAATTTGTTTTGGTTTTTTTTTTGAGATGCAGTTTCACTGTTGTTGCCCAAGCTGAGGTGCAATGGCGTGATCTCCGCTCACTGCAACCTCTGCCTCCCAGGTTCAAGCGGTTCTCCTGACTCAGCCTCCCAAGCAGCTGGGACTACAGTTGCGTACCACCCCGTCCGGCTATATTTGTGTTTCTAGTAGAGACAGGGTTTCGCCATGTTGGCCAGGCTGGTCTCGAACTCCAGACCTCAGGTGATCCACCCGCTTCGCCCTCCCAAAGTGCTAGATTTCAGGCTGAGACACCACACCCAGCCTGTACATTGACTTTCTGCCCTTAAACTGTGCTGAAGTTTGTTTCTCAGATGTAGGAGCCTTTGGGCAGAGACTATGGGGTTTCTAGGTATAGAAATTATCTCATCTTCAAACAGAGGTAATTTGACTACCTCTCTCTGCTACTCTCTTCTTACTTGGATGCCTTATAATTCTTTCTCTTTCCTGATGGCTCTGTCTAGGACTTCAAGTACTATGTTGAATAGGATGGTGAGAGTGGGCATTCTTGTCTTGTTTCACTTATGAAGGGAACTTCTTCCAGCTTTTACTCATTCAGTATGATGTTGGTTGTGGGTTTGTCACAGGCGGCTCTTATTATATTGAGTTATGTTTCTTCAATGCTTAGCTTGTTGAGGGCTTTTAACATGAAGAAATTCTTAGTAAAAAGTATGTTCTACATGTGTGTTGAGAAGATCATGTGGTTTTTGTTTTTAGTTTTGTTTAGGTGATGAATCACATGTATTGATTGTGTATGTTCAACCAACCTTGCACCCTAAGAATAAAGTTGACTTGATCATGGTGGATTCACTTTTTGATATGCTGCGGGATTCAGTTCTTAGTATTTTTTGTGGATTTTTGCCTCTATGTTCATCAGGAATATTGGCATGTAGTTTTCTTTTGTTTAATGTTCTTTTCTGTCTTTAGTATCAGGGTGATGCCAGCCTTATAGAATGAGTAAAGGCCACCCTGGGCAAACAGTGAGACCCATCCCTTTTTAAAAATTATGAGTTTTACAAATTTAAAATGCATAGTGAAAAAGTTCTTACAAACTCCAGAAAGGTAGGTGTAAATAAGAGACATTTGTAAGAATGACAGCACATTAAATGTGTAGATTTCAACCTTCAGTTATTGCAATATTCCAGTATCAAGTTGGAGGATGTTATCAGTCTGATATTTTTTCCTCAAATGAGAGAGAGAAAGAAAGACACACAAACAACACAGGGAGAAAAAAAGCACACGTTACAGAGAGACAAAAAGGGAGACAGGGAACTGTGAATTTGGACTCTTGTGTCATAAGACAAATTCTAGATAACACGACCAGACCTTCAATTGACATATTGTGTTTTTGCTAATAAGGTGGAATTCTATGATGCGAAATAACTATATAGTCTTTTCTACTGGGATTTAAATCATTTTATCTGTTTCTGGCTTAACAGGAAAAATACAACCATGGAAAATTATGATGATTTATTTAATACGATTGCTCTATAGTGTTAATAAAACCTATTAGGTATTTTGCATATTACATATCAAGGAGAGTTTGAATCTCAGGTAGAAACAAAAAAAAATACATCAAAAGTTCCTCATGTGAGTGCAGAATTCAATCGTCCCGTGCAGGGGTAAGTGAGTCTGAGATGTGTTTTGAGCCTGGCCGTTGCGCATGATGTGAAGTGACAAGTCTAGTCTGCAGTTTTCAGAAACCCTCATTCCTCCCTTGACTGATTCACCACTTGAACCTCATATGACGTAGAAGAAGCCTACCTATGTCCCCTTCACATGTTGTGGTCAATGTGTCAACTGCACGATCCGGGCCCCTCACCACATCCTCTGCACCGGTCAGTCGAGCCGAGTCACTGCGTCCTGGCAGCAGAAGCTGCACCATGTCCATGTCACCCACGGTCATCATCCTGGCATGTCTTGGTGAGTCCTGGAAGGGAAGGAGCACCAGGGTTACACTATGGGCCTGCAGATTGGGTGTCTCCCCAGCAGAGAGCCATGTTCTGAAGCAAGTGAGTGGTGAGGATGAGTTAATTTTCAGTCCAGCGTGGCGCCCAGTGGCTCAGGAGGAAAGGGTAGGTTGGTGCCGAGATGAATAGTTCATCATGATCTTTCTTTGCAGGGTTCTTCTTGGACCAGAGTGTGTGGGCACACGTGGGTGAGTCCTTCCCCAAATGATGGGTTGCCATCTTCACCCCAATACAAGTGAATTTTCCGGAAATGGGAGGGAGGCAGCACAGAGGGTGGGCTGATGGGCTGACCATGGGAAGGCCTGGGGGGAGTCTCTCATGAACTAGTAAGAGGAGATCCTGGGAGTCTCTCATGAACTAGTAAGAGGAGATCTTGGGAGTCTCTCATGAACTAGTAAGAGGAGATCCTGGTATGCTCAGCCTTCTGTTTTGTCTTAGCCCTCCCCAGCCTTTCTTCCCCATGGCTGAGTTGAGCTCTGTGTGGCCCAGGCGGGATACTGAGGTGCTCAAAGCTGGGGTGTGTGGGGGGATGTGGTGTCACCGACAGAGGAGGGAAGGGTAGCAGTGTTAGGAACAGCAGGTCCTCTGAGGACAAGAGGGTAACTCACACCCTCCAGCGTTTCCATGACGGTAGGGGCTGCAGTGTGGCTGCTGTCATTCTGCCAGAAGAGGTGGGGGAACCACAGCCACGACCCTGCCATTCCAAATCCTCTGATGGAGCTCAGTTGTTTATTGTGGTTCAGGCATTAGCTAATATTCCATTCACAAAGGTCATACCCTCCACCCCATGTCTACTTTGTGTTGTTTGGTGTAACTAATCTTGCAGTATTAAAATCTAGTAAGAGTCCCTTACTCAGCACCTGCTCAGTTCTCAACTGACACTTTTGTTGTAGGGAGACGCCACGTCTATGCGGGATGGGTCCTTCCTGTAGCCCCAGGCACCCAGGTGTGGTAGGAGCCTTAGAAAGAAGAAATGGGGAGAATCTTCTGAGCACAGGGAGGGAGGGGCAGCTCAACATACTCCTCTCTGAGGCGGCATCTCCTTCTCCCCAAGGTGGTCAGGACAAGCCCTTCTGCTCTGCCTGGCCCAGCGCTGTGGTGCCTCAAGGAGGACACGTGACTCTTCGGTGTCACTATCGTCGTGGGTTTAACATCTTCACGCTGTACAAGAAAGATGGGGTCCCTGTCCCTGAGCTCTACAACAGAATATTCTGGAACAGTTTCCTCATTAGCCCTGTGACCCCAGCACACGCAGGGACCTACAGATGTCGAGGTTTTCACCCGCACTCCCCCACTGAGTGGTCGGCACCCAGCAACCCCCTGGTGATCATGGTCACAGGTCAGAGGGCTCCTGTCTGGGCTTCTCCTTGTCCCACCTCCTGAGTCCCAGAGCTTCTGGTGGGGGTGTCCACCAGAGTCCGATCATCCAGGCCCCAACTATATTTGGGGTAAAGGGGGATTGAATACAGGGGAATGGGTGCTGTGTTGGAAAGAATAACTGTCCCCATCGATGGCCACATTGTAATCCTTGGAGCCTGTGACTATGTTATAGGGCAGGGGACTGAAGGGGAAGATGGAGCTCAGGTTGTTGATGAGTTGACCTTGAGATGGGGAGATGGCCTGGACTCTCCCACTGGGCTCAGTGTAATCACAAGGGTCCATATGAGTGGAGAAGGAAGAGGAGAATGGGGATTAGAGCAGCATCGTGGGATACTCCACCAGCCACTGTGGGCTTTGAAGGTGGAGGAAGACCACGAGCCACGAAGGGGCTGGAGAAATCAATGGAACTGATTCTCCCGAGTCTCCAGAGGGAATGCAGCCCTGCAGATGCCTTGATTGTAGCCCAGGAAGAACAGGGTCTGATTTCTGTCTCCAGAAGTGGAAGGGGTCAGTGTGTTCTCTCCTGCCGCCATGTTTGTGATAATTTTCTCCAGCAACAACAGGAAACCAACACAGGAACCCAGGTGAAGGACAAGTTAAAAAACCAAACAAGAAGGTTGGCTACCCTGAGATCAGCAAGGGTGCACTGCTGATGCCACCACCAGGCTGGAACCACATAGGGAGGGATCGACAGGAAGAGTTAGGGGTGGAGGGTGAGAGAGAGAGAGAGAGCACTAGGCCATAGAGCAGGGCAGTGAGTTCTCAGCTCAGGTGGGAGGGGAGCTGTGACAAGGAAGAACCTCCCTGAGGAAACTGCCTCTTCTCCTTCCAGGTCTATATGAGAAACCTTCGCTTACAGCCCGGCCGGGCCCCACGGTTCGCGCAGGAGAGAACGTGACCTTGTCCTGCAGCTCCCAGAGCTCCTTTGACATCTACCATCTATCCAGGGAAGGGGAAGCCCATGAACTTAGGCTCCCTGCAGTGCCCAGCATCAATGGAACATTCCAGGCCGACTTCCCTCTGGGTCCTGCCACCCACGGAGAGACCTACAGATGCTTCGGCTCTTTCCATGGATCTCCCTACGAGTGGTCAGACCCGAGTGACCCACTGCCTGTTTCTGTCACAGGTGAGGAAAGCCAATGTCTGTCCCATGTCCTATGGTCCTAGAGCCTTAGCTGAGGAGCTTCCTGCTGATGATGGAGAGAAGCATGGACAGATGTGGAGAGAAGATGCAGCATGGTGTGAGGGTGGGATCAGGGCACAGGATGGCAGACAGGGCACCTCCAAACCCTCCTGCATGGCCTGCATGGAAGCTTGCAGTAAGGGCTCCGGGTACCCAGGCAGATGGAGAAAGTGGTCAGGACAGACCCAGAGGAGGGAGACTGGGCTCAGTTTGGGGAGATCAGAGGTTCCCTCAGCCCCTCAACCTTACCCATTTCCCAGAAGCCCACCCTGGCCTCTCACCTACACAGAGATGTCATCACCAGCAACCCCTACACTTTTTCTTTTCCTTTGAAAAAATGCTGATTGAGGTTAAATATACCTATATAATTTATCAACTTTACCATTTTTAAGTGTAAAATCTAGGGATCATAAATACCTTTATATGCTGTGTGCGGTGGCTCACGCCTGTAATCTCAGCATTTTGAGATGCCAAGGCAGGTGGATCATTTAAAATCAGGGGCTGGAGACCAGCCTGGCCAACATGGGGGAACCAATCTTTACTAAAAAGACAAAAAAAATAAAATTAGCCAGGCATGGTGCCAGGCGCCTATAATCCCAGCAACTTGGGAGGCTGAGGCGGGAGAGTGGCTTAAACCCAGGAGGAGGAGGTTGCAGTGAGCTGAGATCATGCCACTGCACTGCAGCCTGGTGACACAGAGAGACTCTGTCTCTAAATAAATAAATAAATACTTTTATATTCTTCTTTTGTTACCCTCCACCCCTTCCTTCCTAACCTCTGGTATCCACCATTCTACTCTCTACCTTCATGAGGTCCACCTTTTACATCCTGCATGTGAGTAAGAAATGGCAATCCTTGTAATGACCTCCAGTCCATCCATGTGGCTGCAAATGACAGGACGTTACTCTTTGTATGGATGAGTTGTCTCCATTGTGTGTATGTACTACATTCTCTCTATCCATTCATCCACTGATGGGCAGGTAGGTTGACTCCACATCTTGGCTACTGTGAACAGTGCTGGAACAGTCATGGGAGTGCAGATGTCACTTCAATACACTGAAGTCCTTTTCTTTGCATTTACACCCACTAGTGGAATTGCTAGATCCTCTGGATGTTCTCTTTTTAGGTTTTGTTTTATGCTTTTTGTTTTTTTGACATAGCGTTTCACTCTTGTTGCCCAAGCTGGAGTGCAATGGCACCACCTGGGCTCACTGCAACCTCTACCTCCAGGATTCAAGTGATTCTCCAGCCTCAGCCTCCCGAGTAGTTGGGATTACTGGTGCCCGCCACCACGCCTGGCTGATTTTTGTATTTTTAGTAGAGACGGGGTTTCACCATGTTAGCCAGGCTGGTCTCGAACTCTTGACCTCCAGTGATCTGCCCACTTCAGCCTCCCAAGGTGCCGGGATTACAAGCGTGAGCCACAGTGCCTAATCTCTTTTTAGTTTTTAAGGAACTTCCATATTCTTCTCCTCTGTAATGGCTGTATTAATTTACATTCCTATCAACAGTGTATCAGGGTTCTCCTTTCTCCACCACCTTGCCAACATTTGTTTTGTCTGTCTCTGAGATAAAACCCATTGTAATGGGGTGAGATGATAGCTCATTGTGACTTCATTTGCATTTCTCTGATGATTAGTGATACTGAGCACTTTTTCATATATGCAATGTATATATGTTCATTTGTATGTTTTGTTCATTGAGAAATGTCTGTTCAGGTCTTTTACTAATTTTATAATTAAATTATTAGTTTTATTGAGGTGTTTGAGCTTCTTTTATATTCTAGTTATTAATCCCATCTCAGATGCATAGTTTGCAAATATTTGCTCCCATTCTGTGGGTTGTCTCTTCTTCACTTCATTGGTTGCTTCCTTTGCGGTGCAGAAGCTGCTTGATTTGATATAATCCCAATGGTCTATTTTTTTGTTGTTGTTGTGATTACTTGTGTTTTTGAGGTTTTAAACAAAATGTCTTCCCTCAGACAAATGTCCTGGAGCATTTCTCCAGTGTTTCCTTTTAGACATTTAATGGATTCAGGTCTTAAGTCATTAATCCATTTTCATCTGATTTTTGTGTATGGTGAGAGGTAGAGGTGCAGTTTCATCCCTCTGCATGTAGATATCCAGTTTTCCCTGCACCATTTATTGAAATGACTGTCCTTTCCAGATTGTAGATTCTTCGAACCTTTGTCAAAGTCCATTGGATGTAAATGGGTGGATTACATCCGTGTTCTTCATTCTGCTCCATTGTTTTATGTGCTTTTCTTTATGCCAATGTCATGTTGTTTTGCTTACTACAGCTCTGTAACATATTTTTAAGTCAGGTAGTGTGATGCTCCTGTTTTCTCCTTATACCTTGAAGTCTCAAGATAGTTGGTGTCACCTACAATGATTATGGAGAATGGGATGCCAGGACTCCCAGGGCCCAACATTAGATAATAGAATGTTGGCCATGAACCAACCTCAAAGATTTCCATTGAGTAGAAGACAGGCATCCTCATTGCCACACCTCTCTCCTGTCCCATGTTCTAGGAAACCCTTCTAGTAGTTGGCCTTCACCCACTGAACCAAGCTTCAAAACTGGTAAGTGAAGGACCCCTCTTATCTCTGCTTTTGGAAACCTGGGGAGGTAGAAGCCTTGGATTCAAGCGTTGGCTCAGCACCTGCCAGCTCTGTGATTGTGGGCCTGTCTTCCATTGTCTCTGAACCCCAGACACTCCAACAGCGAAAGGGATCTGGGCCCAGCACAGGGCTCAGTGAAATCTCTTAATCTCTAATTTTCTGCTGCTGAGACCTCAGGGTAGAAGGATGAGTGCAAATCAGACATTCTTCTCAGGAAAAATGCTGTGTTTGTTCTGCCTGCATTCCTAACTGGGAGGACAAATGCCTGGGGGCTTGAGAAGGGGAAGGAAGGGGAACATTTTTGAGGGTGGTGTATTTGTAGAGAAGTTCTACTTGCCAAGGAATGAGCTCCTGTCTGTCATGATCCAACCCTGGTTGACTTAGTGGAACAAGAGCTTTGCGGTAAGAGAGAACGTAGTTCATCCGTGCACATGACACTTCCACTTACTCGTTCAGCCACTGCCCCATGCTCAGACTGTGCAGTGTGGAACCTTTTCCTATGTTGCCATAACAAATTTCCACAAGCTTCGTGGATGGAAACCACATTTTTAAAAAATATCTCATGGTGCTGTAGCTCAGAAGTATGAAATGCATCATCTCACTGGGCTAAAATCAAGGTGACAGCAAGGCTGCCTTCCCTCTGAATGTTCCAGGCAAGAATCTGCTTCCTCACTTTTCCCAGCTCCTAGAGGCTCCCACATTCCTTGGCTCCTGGTCCCCGTCTTCCTCCCTCAAAGTCCACAAAGGCTGGTCACGCCTCTCACACGGCATCACTCAGACCCTTCTTCCTTGTCCACACCTCTTTCTCTGAATGCTGCTCTGCCTTCTTCCTCATCTTTTAAGGACTTTGGCATTCTATTGGAAACACCAAGATAATCCATCATAATTTCCCTAAAATCATCTAGGATACCCTCCTTTTAAGGTTAGCTGATTAGCAACCGTAATTCCATCTGCAATCTGCATTCCTTTTTTCCATGTAAAATAACATATTCACAAGATATGGCGACTAGGACAGGAATATTTTGGGGTGGGGCGGCATTCTTATCCTTTCCACAAATGGTAAACAAGGTGCATTTGGCCTCTGCTCTTGGACACTGATATTGCAAAGGATTAAATGGGAGGGCAGAAAATGAATGCACCAGTGGACCAATAAATGAATGATCCATTGGGAAGCATCTGTGCATGAGAATGATTGATTGATTGGTGTTTTTTATGAGACGGTGTCTCCTTCTGTGCCCCAGGCTGGAGTGCAGTGGCGGGATCTCGGCTCACCGCAACCTCCACCTCCCAGGTTAAAGCGATTCTCTACACTCAGCTTCCCGAGAGGCTGGGATTACACCCATGTCCCACCACGCCTGGCTAATTTTTTTTTTGGTATTTTTTTTTAGTACAGACAAGGTTTTACCATGTTGCCCAGGCTATCTCAAACTCCCAACCTTAAGGGATCCGCCCGTCTCAGCCTCCCAAAGTGCTGAGATTAGAGGCGTGAGCCAAGGCGCCGAGCCGTATTTTAAAAGAAATAATAGATAATGCTGAGTGTATAATTTCGGGTGACAGAGAAGTTCTCACTGATCAAATAATACTTGTGACCTTAATGAAAAAAATAGATCAACCCCTGGAAGATTGGCGGAAGGATTTTCCACACAGCTGTCAGCCGTGAAGGCACAAAGGTGAAAACAATGTTATGTGGAAGGAAGAGGCTCTGCCTCAAATGCTGGGAATGAGGTGGGGAGAATGACAAGACGACTGTGGAGAGACAGAGAGCACTCTGGGTACACAGGAAACTAAGGAGGAACAAGGAGCGTGTGTTTGACACTCACAGCCCTTGGACTTACCTCGGGGCTAACTGGGAATCCCTACATGATGAATAGTGACTGACATGAAAATAAGGGAGGCCCAGGTGCATAACTGGAATCTAGGAGACTGTGGAAAAGGCAATTCCCGCCCCCCTGGTGAAATGTGGTGCTGATTTAGACACTAAATGAATGAAAGATGGACACAAGATGTGTTTGTGAGGTAGAGTAATTTGCAGGGAGGGCTTGCCTGGTTTGATTTTTCCTAATTGTTTAATCTTCACTTCATTGATTTCTTTCTGAGATTTATTTTTCCTACATGTAAATCAATACTTGGCAGAGGAGTGAGAGATACATGAGGGGTGGTGCAAAGGAAGAGACCTATTATAATATAACACACAAGGTTCTGAA
The DNA here is from genome assembly GCF_000001405.40 of Homo sapiens. NCBI lineage: Eukaryota > Metazoa > Chordata > Mammalia > Primates > Hominidae > Homo > Homo sapiens. Next base: position 112,759 of record NW_016107300.1, read on the forward strand.
CGGTGGCTCACACCTGTAACCCAACATTTTGGGAGGCTGAGGAGGCTGGATCAAGTGAGATCAGGAGTTCGAGATCAGCCTGGACAACATGGTGAAACCCCATCTCTACTAAATATACAAAAACTAGCTGGGGGTGGTGGCGCATGCCTGTAATACCAGCTATTCGGGAAGTTGAAGAAGGAGAATGGCTTCAACCAGGGAGGGAGAGGTTACAGTGAGCCAAGATCGCGTCATTGCACTGCACCCTAGGTGACAGAGTGAGACTCCATGGCAAAAAATAAAAATAAAGAATACATAAATATAATATAACATACACGAATGACAAAGGCACACCAATTCCAATCATCATTTTTCTATTTCTCTATAATGACTTCTTTGATCCTTTATCCTATCCGTAAGAAAATCAGGCGAAAACATCTTCCTTATTTGGCTTTCTGTGAGCATGAGATCATATGGAAAATGTGAAACCCACCAGCACAGGTCCTGGAATAGAGAACGTGATCTGTTCATGGGACAAAAACTTGCCCCTTCACCCAAATCCCCCACCTCACCCCTACTTCCAATCACATTAATGATACAGATAGATCATGGGGAGGTAAAAACTAATATTCTTTGGAGTTCAGATCGTAGACTCAGAGACCAGTGCCAGCACTATCTCCTGGTCACCTTTTGGAGTAATTCACAGAAAGACAGGCTGTATTGAAGCAACAGATGATGGAGGGGGTGGTCTTTCCCCCAGACTCTCGGGTGGAACAGCAGCCTAATATCTGACTCCCAAGATGACAAAAGTAGCATGTTGCCCACGAGCTTCATCATTATTTCCTGGCTGTTTGATATAAGACAGCTCAACCTCACTTATGTTGATTTCAATGTCACTGTTTTTTCCTTTTCTTGGAGAATGTAATTTGTTTGAGTCAAGAGGGTTGTGGATGTAGAAACTGTAAAGCACATTCACTGTGTATCAATCCCAGTCCAGTCTTCCCAGAGAAGACTCTAAACACCTCCCATACTGCACCTGGGGCTGTGCCAATTTCTATCACTCACCATCACTCCAGGGAGACAGAACACACAGGGAATACATTACATAGGCAGGTTCATTACTTATAGATAAGCAGCGAGTGACAACAGAAACCTTCCTTTCAGGGTGAGCCAGTCCCTCAAGGCTCAGAAAAACTGCTCAGGACACATGGAGTCACTTCATGTGCACTGTAGCTGGGGGAAGCCAGAAAGCAGCCCAGCCTGGGTTTTGTACCCTGGAGCCACAGGGAACACTCAGCTAAAGCACTGCATGATGTTCTCCTCCAGGAAGAACAGGAAGACAGCCCAGGCTGTTCTGAGACGTTCCTCCTGATCTCAGGATGTTGCTGTCTTAGCCTATTTTTGTTGCTATAAAAGAACACTTGAGCCTGGGTATCTTCTAAAGAAAAGAGATGTGTTTGGCTCACTGATCTGCACGCTGTACTAGAAGCAGGACACTACCATCTATTTCTGGCTGCGGCCTCAGGCTGCTCCCACACTGACAGAAGAGAAGGGGGTCCTGCGTGTGCAGAGACCACAGAGATCACATGGCAAGAGAGGGAGAAAGGGGGTGTGATGGAGCTTCCAAGCTCTTTTTAAGAATCAACTCTCCAGGGTACTAATAGAGGGAGAACTTGCTAACCCCGTCCTCTGGGGACAGCATTAATCTATTCATGATGGATCCACCCCCATGACCAAAACACCCCTCCCAATAGGCACAACCTCCCACACTGGGGATTAAATTTCAAAGTGGGGTTTGGAGGGGTCAAACATTGAAACAATAGCAGTTGTATCATCAGCACATTCTATTGTTATTATGAAAACTATAACGGAGAAAGCAGGAGAAAGCTGGGTCTCCCGCCTCGTGGGTGCTTGTCTTAAAGAGGTGTTTTATGTGGTTGCCTGGCAACCAAGAAATGAGAGACAATCCACAAAGAGGAACTGCTATGGTTAGCTTCTTATTGGATTCCCATCTTCCTCCAGGTATCGCCAGACACCTGCATGCTGTGATTAGGTACTCAGTGGCCATCATCCTCTTTACCATCCTTCCCTTCTTTCTCCTTCATCGCTGGTGCTCCAAAAAAAAAGTAAGCCTCACGAAGCAGAGGCCAGAGAACTCAGGGCCCTGTGCGGAAGCAGGATGGGAGCACGCAGGTGTGTGTTCCTCACTGGCAGGAAAGTCTCTGGCCCAAGGCAGGAGCCAGAGGCAGAGCTTTCTAGAGAGAGCACCAGACACCCTGCCCCTGCCTTCAGCTCACAGACCGTTGCCTGATTGTGAACTGTATCCTCACGTCCCCTGCAGCCACTCACATCCAGGAGAAGATTCCATGACAGGCAGAAAGTGGGAGATAGAATCAATGGGATGGGAACTGACAGCTATTCATGGAATGGGGTCTTGCACTCAGAGAGATGGAATGTCTGAGTCTGGCTGTTGGCAGCTGAGGGACCTCAGGCACCTATGGCCTCCCCCTGTGTGTTGGTATCTGTTCATGAAATGAGGACCCAGAAGTGCCCTCCCAGCTGTTTTGATTGCTTCCGTCTCCTACAGATGCTGCTGTAATGAACCAAGAGCCTGCGGGACACAGAACAGTGAACAGGGAGGTAGGTCCTCCTAGCCCAGCCTCATGGATACAGTCTTATTCCGAAATAGTCCTGAAAAATGTGAACACCCTCCCTCACTCAGGATTTCCCTCTCTCCAGGACTCTGATGAACAAGACCCTCAGGAGGTGACATACGCACAGTTGGATCACTGCATTTTCACACAGAGAAAAATCACTGGCCCTTCTCAGAGGAGCAAGAGACCCTCAACAGATACCAGCGTGTGTATAGAACTTCCAAATGCTGAGCCCAGAGCGTTGTCTCCTGCCCATGAGCACCACAGTCAGGCCTTGATGGGATCTTCTAGGGAGACAACAGCCCTGTCTCAAACCCAGCTTGCCAGCTCTAATGTACCAGCAGCTGGAATCTGAAGGCGTGAGTCTCCATCTTAGAGCATCACTCTTCCTCACACCACAAATCTGGTGCCTGTCTCTTGCTTACCAATGTCTAAGGTCCCCACTGCCTGCTGCAGAGAAAACACACTCCTTTGCTTAGCCCACAATTCTCTATTTCACTTGACCCCTGCCCACCTCTCCAACCTAACTGGCTTACTTCCTAGTCTACTTGAGGCTGCAATCACACTGAGGAACTCACAATTCCAAACATACAAGAGGCTCTCTCTTAACACGGCACTTAGACACGTGCTGTTCCACCTTCCCTCGTGCTGTTCCACCTTTCCTCAGACTATTTTTCAGCCTTCTGGCATCAGCAAACCTTATAAAATTTTTTTGATTTCAGTGTAGTTCTCTCCTCTTCAAATAAACATGTCTGCCTTCATTCTTTAGGTGACTCTTTTTTTGGCTGAAAGTTTCCAGTGTTATCATTACCATGTCCAAATAACTCCAACTGTTCTCCACTGGGTTCTCACCCCTGGACTCGGAGCTTCTGGAAGCAGGGTGGAGCCTGATTTGTCTCTGAGACTCCAATTTCCATCCAAAGATGCAGCACATAAGAGGTTCCAAGGATCGTGAATCACATGAACAAGTGATATTCTTACTCTCTGCAGACCTGGAAAGCTGGCAGAGTCATTCCATGATGAAACATTTGTAGAGTCATAGGCCTTGTTAGTCTCATCTCCACGGGGACACATATCAACACATCATCTTTCATACTATAAATATACAGTCGGTCCTCTGTATCTGTGGGATTTACAGGTGTTTATTGAACCAAATATAAATCAAAAATATTCAGAGAAAAAATCCACAAAGTTTCAAAAAGCAAAACTATGTTGAATGGACACAAATGAAGCTGTGTGTAGGCTGTATCAGGAATTATAAATAATCAAGGGATGATTTCATGTACACAGGAGGATGTGCATGGGTTATTTGCAAATGCTGTGCCATTTCATGTAAGAGGCTTGAGCGTCTGCAGATTGTGCTATCTGAGTGGAGATCCTGAAACCAATCACCCACGAATAGTGAGGGATGACTGTATATAATTTTTATTTCTCAATTTTAAATATAAAACATAAAAAAATTACAATAACAAGATAAAATAAACAAGTGTTTTATAGTGTGAGAATACGTTTAGATATATTTTTCTCTATGTGTAACCCTTGGGCCCATGTTATTTATTGAGAAGACATTCTATTCCACCTTAAACCACATGGCAGCCTTTGTCAACTATAAAGGGACTGTGTGTACACGGATGTATTTTAGACACTGTTTTCTGCTCAGTGGCTCTCTCTCTGTCCACTCTCTTGAGAATGCTGCATTTTATGCAGCCTTATACAACCCCTAAAATTTGGTAGCTGGAGTCCTCTAGTTATTTATTATAGGCTATTTGCTATGCTTTTTTTATTTTTCTTGAGGCAGAGTCTCGCTCTGTTGCCCAGGCTGGAGTGCAGTGGCACGATCTCGGCTCACTGCAACTTCCGCCTCCCAGGTTCAAGGGATTCCGTGCCTCAGCCTCTTGAATAGCTGGCATTACAAGTGCCTGCTACCAGGCATGGCTAATTTTTGTATTTTTAGCAGAGACATGGTTTCACTATATTGGCCAGGCTGGTCTCAAACTCCTGACCTCGGTTGATCACTCACCTCGGCTTCCAAAGTGCTGGGGAAATTGATTTTCTATAGCATTATGTTACTGGATATTTCTGTAAAAATTAAAATGAGGGAGGCAGAGAGACAGAGAGAGAGCAAACCATGAGTTGGAACTCTGGAATCTTGGGACATGAGACAAATTCTAGATAAATCTACAAAAATCCAGAATTTACATGTTGTGATTTTTGCTGATAAAGTACAATTCTAAGATTGTAAATAATTGCATAATCCTTCCCTGGGAGTTTAAATCATTTGAACTGGTTCTGCTGTAATACTAGAAATACAATCATGAAAAATTCTAATGGTTTATTGTCACAATTGCTCTGAAAACCTTAATAATACCTATTAGATATTTTGCATATTACACAGGAAGAAGAGTTTGAATCTCAGATAAAAACAATAAAAATACATGAAAAGTCTTTCATGTTAGCACAGATTTTAGGCATCTCGTGTTCGGGAGGTTGGATCTGAGACGTGTTTTGAGTTGGTCATAGTGAAGGACGCGAGGTGTCAATTCTAGTGAGAGCAATTTCCAGGAAGCCATGTTCCGCTCTTGAGCGAGCACCCACTGGGCCTCATGCAAGGTAGAAAGAGCCTGCGTACGTCACCCTCCCATGATGTGGTCAACATGTAAACTGCATGGGCAGGGCGCCAAATAACATCCTGTGCGCTGCTGAGCTGAGCTGGGGCGCAGCCGCCTGTCTGCACCGGCAGCACCATGTCGCTCATGGTCGTCAGCATGGCGTGTGTTGGTGAGTCCTGGAAGGGAATCGAGGGAGGGAGTGCGGGGATGGAGATCTGGACCTGGAGGTAAAGATATGGGCCTAGAGGTGGAGTTATGGGCCTAGAGGTGGAGTTATGGGCCTGAAGTGGAGATCTGGGCCTGGAGTGGAGATCTGGGCCTGGAGTGGAGATCTGGGCCTGGAGTGGAGATAGGGGCCTGGGGTGGAGATATGTGCCTGGAGTGGAGATCTGGGCCTGGAGTGGAGATATGGGCCTGGGGTGGAGATATGTGCCTGGGGTGGAGAGATGGGCCTGGAGGGGAGATATGGGCCTGGAGGGGAGATGTGGGCCTAGAGGTGGAGTGATGGGCCTAGAAGTGGAGCGATGGGCCTGGAGTGGAGATATGGGCCTGGAGGTGGAGTTAGGGGCCTGCAGTAGAGATATGGGCCTGAAGTGGAGATATGGGCCTGGAGTGGAGATATGGGCCTAGAGGTGGAGTTATGGGCCCGGAGGTGGAGTTAAGGGCATGAAGTGGAGATCTGGGCCTGGAGTGGAGATATGATCCTGGAGTGGAGATATGGGCCTGGGGTGGAGATACGGGCCTGGAGCAGACATACAAGCCTGGAAAGGAGATATGGGCCTGGAGAGGAGATAGAAGCCTGGAGTGGAAATATGGGCCTGGAGTGGAGATATGAGCCTGGAGTGGATATATGAGCCTGGAGTTGAGATAGGAGCCTGGAGTGGAGATATGGGCCTGGAGTGGACTTACCAGCCTGGAGAGGAGATATGGGCCTGGAGTGGAGATACGGACCTGGAGTGGAGATCTGGGCCTGTTGTGTAGATCTAGGCCTGGAGGTAGAGATCTGGGCCTGGAGGCTCAGTCTCTGCACAGCCGAGATCCTTGTTCCTGGGGGCAGGTAGGCAGCGAGGGTGAGTTTACCTTCAGCCCAGCAAGGGCCTGGCTGCCAAGACGCACAGCCCAGTGGGGGCAGCAGGGTGCCCTGGTTTGCCTGCAGATGGATGGTCCATCATGATCTTTCTTTCTAGGGTTGTTCTTGGTCCAGAGGGCCGGTCCACACATGGGTGAGTCCTTCCCCAAACCTTAGGGTGTCATCTCCCCACATAAGAGGATTTTCCTGAAATGGGAGGGAAGTCCTGTCGGGGAGTCTCTCATACACTAGGAAGAGGGGACCCTCGGATGCTCGGCCCACATTTCTGACCTTGCCTTCCCCGGCCTTTCATTCCCTTTCCTGAGTCAAGCTCTGTGAAGACTGGGGTGAGACTAGGGTGCTCCAAGATGGGTGTGCAGGGAGGAAGTGGTGTCAGCAGCAGAGAAAGAGAGGGAAGCAGTGCTAGGAACAGCAGGTCCTCTGAGGACAAAGGTGTAACTCACACCCTCCAGCGTTTCCGTGATGGTAGGGGCTGCAGTGTGGCTGCGGTCTTTCTACCAGAAAAGGTGAGGAAACCACAGCCATGGCCCTGACATTCCAAATCCTCTGATGGGGGCTCAGTTCATCAATTGGCTGATATTCCATTCACATAGGACTTGCCCTCCATGCCGTGTCTACTTTGTGTTGTTTTATATGAGTAATTTTGCAGTATTAAAATCTAGTAAGAGTTGCTTCTCCAGCAACTTGCTCAAAGTTCTCAGCTGACACTTGTTGTAGGGAGACGCCAAGTCTATGCAGGATGGGTCCTTCCTGTAGCCCTGGGCACCCAGGTGTGGTAGGAGCCTTAGAAAGTGGAAATGGGGAGAATCTTCTGGGCACTGGGAGTGAGGGGCGGCTCCACATCCTCCTCTCTAAGGCAGTGCCTCCTTCTCCCCCAGGTGGTCAGGACAAACCCTTCCTGTCTGCCTGGCCCAGCGCTGTGGTGCCTCGAGGAGGACACGTGACTCTTCGGTGTCACTATCATCATAGGTTTAACAATTTCATGCTATACAAAGAAGACGGAATCCACATTCCCATCTTCCATGGCAGAATATTCCAGGAGAGCTTCAACATGAGCCCTGTGACCACAGCACATGCAGGGAACTACACATGTCGGGGTTCACACCCACACTCCCCCACTGGGTGGTTGGCACCCAGCAACCCCGTGGTGATCATGGTCACAGGTCAGAGGCTTTCCGTCTGGGCTTCTCACTGTCCCACCTCCTGAATCCCAGAGCTTCTGGTGGGGGTGTCCGTCAGGGTCCCATCACCCAGGCCCTGACTGTATTTGGGGTCAAGGGAGATTGAATACAGGGGAAATGGGTGCTGTGGTGGGAAGAATCACTGTCCCCAATGATGGCTACATTGTAATCCCTGGAGCCTGTGACTATTTATGTTACAGGGCAGGGGACTGAAGGGGAAGGTGGAGCTCAGGTTGTTGATGAGTTGACCTTGAGATGGGGAGACAGCCTGGACTGTCCCACTGGGCTCAGTGTAATCACAAGGGTCCACATGAGAGGTGGAGGAAGAGGGGAGTGGGGATTAGAGCAGTGTAGTGGGAGGGAGACGCTATCAGCCACTGCGGGCTTTGAAGGTGGAGAAAGACCACTAGTCACAGAATGCAGGTGGCCTCTAAGGGCTGGAGAAGTCAAGAGAACTGATTCGCTGATTCTCCAGAGGGAACGCAGCCCTGTAGACACCTTGATTTCAGCACAGGGAGAACTGGATCCAATTTCTGTCTCCAGAAGTGGAAGGGGTCAGTGTGTTCTCTCCCGCTGCCATGTTTGTGGTAATTTTCTGCAGCAGCAACAGGAAACCAACACAGGAACCCAGGTCAAGGACAAGTTAGGAAACCAAACAAGGATAGCCAGATGTGGTGGTGGGCGCGAGTAATCCAACGACTGGGGAGGCTGAGGCAAGAGAATCACTTGAACTGGGGATTTGTTCAAAAGAGATTGATTCAGGCTGCTAAGAGCCTGGACATGCAGCCTGTCCTCTTCCACCCCCACATAGACAGCAGGAAAGAGATTAGTGGGAAACAGATACAACAGCCCAAGAGATGAGGCTGTCTTCACAGTGGCAAGGGAGTCAGGGGCTACTGGAGACAGAGGGACAGAGAAGAGGGAGGAAGACAGATGGAGGCACCTGCACCAGGGGATATGGGCACAGAAAAGACACGGAGATGCAGAGAGGGAGGAGAGAGACAGACACGGGGAGGGGAACCCTCACTCATTCCAGGTGCCATGGATGGGATGATAAAGAGAGATGCCTTCTAAACTCACAACTTCTCTTTCTAGGAAACCACAGAAAACCTTCCCTCCTGGCCCACCCAGGTCCCCTGGTGAAATCAGGAGAGAGAGTCATCCTGCAATGTTGGTCAGATATCATGTTTGAGCACTTCTTTCTGCACAAAGAGGGGATCTCTAAGGACCCCTCACGCCTCGTTGGACAGATCCATGATGGGGTCTCCAAGGCCAATTTCTCCATCGGTCCCATGATGCTTGCCCTTGCAGGGACCTACAGATGCTACGGTTCTGTTACTCACACCTCCTATCAGTTGTCAGCTCCCAGTGATCCCCTGGACATCGTGGTCACAGGTGAGAGTGTCTAGACATTGTTCTCATTGTCACTGGGACACAGAGTGAATGATCCAGGACTTGGAACCCCCAGGTGGTCATGAGGAAGATAAGTGTGGGATTCTTACGGAAAGAGAGTGACTTGGTGAGGTCTGTACCAACAGAGACAGAGAAACAGCAGACATAAGTACAGAACAGGTGTCATAACAGAGGACAGACACAGGGGCCATACAGGGAGGTAGAAAAGAGAGAAAGAGGTAAAGGAGACACTCAGACAGACAGACATGTCCCAGAGAGAGGTGTCCTTCCATGCTGACTTTGCTCAGAGACCTGGCACAGGTTAGAAGTTTCATTTCTGTTTTACCTCCACAAAGTGTTCCTACCAGAAGAACCCAAGGACACCCATATTTCTGACCTGAGTTGGGCCCTGTGGCCTCAGGCCTTGTGCCACCTACAGATGCCGTGTTTATTCTGACACCTCTGCCTTCCATGCAATGGAGAGTAATCATCCCAGGATATCATGGCCCCTGAACACCAACCCCTGTATGCTGTGTGAACTTGGGGTCCCCAGACTGGATTCTGAGGCTCATATTCCAAATAATCCCACATATGATAGGATCGCTGAGAGACACAGAGAAAAATCAGGGACACCAAAAAGCAAAGACATAAACACACACAAAATGAGCCAGAAGAAGGAGATTAAGAGATTCACAGACACATAAAAAGAAAGAAAAGAGGGCAGAGTGGAGAGAATGATGGAAAGGAGGAGAGAAAAGCCCCAAAATCAGAACCCTGAGGGAGGGACACAAAGACAGAGAAAGATAAATATGTGGGGATGGATTGCAGAGATTCCAAATAGAACTAGAGAGACTGAGAGGCAGAGAAAGACAAGGAGACGGAGAGAGAGAGATGATAGATGGATAGATAGACGTAGATAGATGATAAATAGGTAGATGATAGATAATGGATTGGTTATAGATACATAGATGATGACTGATAGATGATACATAGAGATGACGATGATGATGATAGACACATAGATATATACATAGATGATACATAAATAGAGACAGAGAGGCAGACAGAGAGGTAATAGAGAGAGAGATAGATGATACATATATAGATAATAGATGATTGATGGATAGATAGACAGACAGACAATTGATAGAGAGATAGATAAGTGATACATAAATATAGATGATAGATAATTTGTAGATAGACACAAAATAGATAAATAGATAGAAATGTGCAGAAAGTTATGAACAAGACAGAAAGTGAGAGACTCAAAATTAAAGAAAAAGGAAGATCAAGTCAACCAATCCAAGGAGGGTCAGAGAGAATAAAACAATCCAAAAAGGGAAAACATACCTCAGGGTGGGGAATTGAGGTCATAGACCTAGAGAGACAGAAAAGGTAGAAGGAGGAAACAGATATGAAGAGAGATGGGGTGGAGGGTGAGAGAGAGAGAGAGAGCATTAGGTCATAGAGCAGGGGAGTGAGTTCTCAGCTCAGGTATGAGGGGAGCTATGACAAGGAAGAACCTCCCTGAGGAAACTGCCTCTTCTCCTTCCAGGTCCATATGAGAAACCTTCTCTCTCAGCCCAGCCGGGCCCCAAGGTTCAGGCAGGAGAGAGCGTGACCTTGTCCTGTAGCTCCCGGAGCTCCTATGACATGTACCATCTATCCAGGGAGGGGGGAGCCCATGAACGTAGGCTCCCTGCAGTGCGCAAGGTCAACAGAACATTCCAGGCAGATTTCCCTCTGGGCCCTGCCACCCACGGAGGGACCTACAGATGCTTTGGCTCTTTCCGTCACTCTCCCTACGAGTTGTCAGACCCGAGTGACCCACTGCTTGTTTCTGTCACAGGTGAGAAAAGCCCATATCTCTCTCATGTCCTATGATCCTAAATCCTTAGCTAAGGAGCTTCCTGCTGATGATGGAGAAAAGCATGGACAGATGCAGAGAGAAGACACAGCAGGTGTGAGGGCGGAGTCAGGGCGCAGGATGGCAGACAGGGCACCTCCAAACCCTCCTTCATGGCCTGCATGGAGGCCTCCGATCAGGGCTCCAGGCACCCAGGCAGATGGAGAAAGCGGTCAGGACAGACCCAGAGAAGGGGAGACTGGGCTTAGTTTGGGGAGATCAGAGGTTCCCTCAGCCCCTCAATCTTATCCATTTCCCAGAAGCCCATCATGGCCTCTCACCCACACAGAGAGATGTCATCACCAGCAACCCCTACACCCTTTTCTTTTCATTTTCAAAAATATTTATTGAGGTTAAATGTAACTATATAATTTACCAACTTTACCATTTTTAAAAGTAAAATCTAGTGGTCATAAATACCTTTATATGCTGGGTGTGGTGGTTCACGGTTGTAATCTCGGCGCTTTGAGAGGCCAAGGAAGGTGGATCATTTAAGATCAGGAACTCGAGATCACCCTGGCCAACATGTGGGAAATTCATCTTTACTAAACAGACAAGAAAAATTAGCCGAGCATGCCGGCATGCACCTGTAGTCCTAGCTACTTGGGAGGCTGAGGCAGGAGAAGCACTTAAAGCCAGGAGGCAGAGGTTGCACTGAGCCGAGATCATGCCACTGCACTGCAGCCTGGGAGACAGAGAGAGACTCTGTTTCTAAATAAATAAATACATCTATATTCTTTTTTTTGTTACCCTCCACCCTTCCCTTCCTGGCCTCTGGTGTCCACCATTGTATTCTCCACCTTCATGAGATCCACCTTTTATCTCCTTCATGTGGTGAGAAATGGGAATCTTTGTAATGACCTCCAGTTCCATCCATGTGGCTGCAAATGACAGGATGTTATTGTTTCTATGGATGAGTAGTCTCCACTGTGTGTGTGTACTACAGTTCTCTATCCATTCACCCACTGATAGGCAGGTAGGTTGACTCCACATCTTGGCTACTGTGAACAGTGCTGGAACAGTCATATGAGTGCAGATATCACTTCGATACACTGATGTCCTTTCCTTTGGATATAAACCCAGTAGTGAAATTGCTGGACACTATGAAAGTTCTCTTTTTTTTTTTTTTCCTTTTTTGAGAAAGAGTTTCCCTCCTTAGTCCAAGCTGGAGTCTAAGTGGTGAGATCTTGGCTCATTGCAACCTGTGCCTCCTAGGTTCAAATGATTGTCCTGACTCAGCCTCCCTAGTAGCTGTGATTACAGGTGCACGCCACCATGCCTGGCTAATTTTTGTATTTTTTTAGCACAGACGGGATATCCCAATTTTGGGCAGGCTGCTCTCAAACTCCTGACCTCAAGTGAGGTGCCTGCCTCGGTTTCCCAAAGTGCTGAAGTTACAGGCATAAGCCACTATGCCCAGCCTCCTTTTAGTTTTTTAAAGAATTTCCATACTTTTCTCCATAATAGTTGTACTAATTTACATTCCTACCAACAGGGTACCAGGGTTCTCCTTTCTCTACCATCTTGCCAGCATTTGTTTTGCCTGTCTTGCAGTAAAAGCCATTTTACTTTACTTCATTTTATTTATTTATTTATGTTGAGATGGAGTTTCACTCATAGTCGCCCAGGCTGGAGTGCAAGGGTGTGATCTCAGCTCACTGCAACCTCCGCCTCCCGCGTTCAACTGATTCTCCTGCCTCAGCCTCCAAAGTAGCTGGGATTACAGGCATGTGCCACCACGCCTAGCTAATTTTTGTATGTTTAGTAGAGAGGGAGTTTCTCCATGATGGTCAGGCTGGTCTCCCGACCTCAGGTGATCCGCCCACCTCCGCCTCCTGAAGTGCCGGAATTACAGGCGTGAGCCACCGGCCTAAAAGGCATTTTAATGGGATGAGATGAAAACTCATCGCGATTGTAATTTACATTTCTCTGATGATGAGTGATGCCGAGTACTTTTTCATATACGTGATCGCCATTTCTATGTTTTGTTTGTGGAGAAATGTCTCCTCATGTCTTTTGCTCTTTTTTTGAATTAAATTGTTTTATTGAGTTGTTTGAGCTTCTTATATTTCCAGTTATTAATCCCGTCTCAGATGAATAGTTTGCAAATATTTGCTCCTATTTTGTCGGTTGTCTCTTCACTTTCTTGGTTTATCTTTTGTGGTGCAGAAGTTGCTTGGTTTGATGTAATCCTAATGGTCTATTTTTTGCTTTGATTACTTGTGTTTTGAAGGTTTTAAACAAAATGTCTTTCGTCAGACAAATGTCTTCCCCATTATTTTCTTCTACATGTTTCATAGGTTCAGGCCTTAGACTCATGTTTTTAATCCATTTTCATTTGATTTTTGTGTAAGGTGACAGGTATAGATGCAGTTTTATTCCTCTGCATGTAGATATCCAGTTTTCCCCACACCATTTATTGAAAAGACTGTCCTTTCCTGATTGTAAGTTCTCGGCACCTTTGTCAAAGTCCATTAAATGGGCTGGGTATGGTGGCTCACACCTGCAATTCCAGCACTTTGGGAGGCCGAGGCGGATGGATCACCTGAAGCCAGGAGTTCAAGACCAGGCTGGCCAACAGAGTGAAACCTCGTCTCTACTAAAAATACAAAAATTAGCTGAGCATGGTGACCAGTGCCTGTAATACCACTACTCGGGTGTTTGAGGCAAGAGAATTGCTTGAATCCAGGAAGTGGAGGTTGCATTGAGCTGAGATTGCACCTCTGCACTCCAGCCTGCATGACAGAGCAAGATTCTATCACACACACACAAAAAAAAAGCCATTGGATGTAAATGCATGGATTATATCTGTGTTCTCCATTCTGTTCCATTTTTTATGTGCCTTTCTTTATGCCAATGTCATGCTGTTTTGCTTACTACAGCTCTGTAACATATTTCTAAGTCAGGTAGTGTGATGCTCCTGTTTTCTCTTTATACCTTCAAGTCTCAAGACAGTGGGCATCGCACACAAAAATTATGGAGAAGAGGATCCCAAGACTCCCAGGGTCCAACATTAGATAACAGAGTGTTGGCCATGAACCAACCTCAAAGATTTCCATTGAGTAGAGGACAAGCACCCTCATTTCCTCACATCTCTCCTGTCCCGTGTTCTAGGAAACCCTTCAAGTAGTTGGCCTTCACCCACAGAACCAAGCTCCAAATCTGGTGAGTAAAGGACCCCTCTTATCTCTGCTTTTGGAAACCTGGGGAGGTGGAAGCCTTGGATGCAAGTGTTGGCTCAAACCTCCCAGCTCTGTGAATGAGGGCCTGTCTTCCACCATCTCTGAACTCCAGACACTCCAACAGTGAAAGGGATCTAGGGCCACCAAAGGGCTCAGCGAAGTCTCTTAACCTTTAATGTCCTGCAGGTGAGACCTCCTACAAGCTAGAAGAATGATTGCCAATCTGACATCCTTCTCAGGAAACATGCAGTGTTTTTTCTTCCTGCATTCCTAACTGGAGGATAAATTCCTGGGGACTTGAGAGAGGGAAGGGAAGGGAACATCTGATGAGGGCGAGGTGTTTTAGAGAAGTTCCACTTGCCAAGGAATGAATTACTGTTGGTCATGAAGCAACCCTGGCTGACTCAGCAGAGCAACAGCCTTGCCGTAATAGAGAACAGAGCTCATGCACGCACACTTCGACTCACTGACTCATTCAGCCACAGCCCCATGCTCAGGCTGTGCAGTTGGAATCCTTTCCTATTGTTGCCATAACAAATTTCCACAAGATTCGTGGGTGAAAACAAAGCGGCTTTTTAATTATCTTACAGTGCTGTAGCTCAAAGTATGAAGTGCATCTCACTGGGCTAAAAACAAGGTGACAGCAAGGCTGCCTTCCCTTGCCTGAGGATTCCAGGCAAGAATCTGCTTCTCACTTGTCCCATCTTATAAAGGCTCCCAGTTCCTTGGCTCCTGGTCCCCTTCCTCCTTCCTCAAAGCCCACAAAGGCTGGTCACATCTCACATGGCATCACTCAGACCCTTCTTCCTTACCACACCTCTTTCTCTGAATGCTGCTCTCCCTTCTTCCTTATCTTTTGAAAACTTGGGGATTCTATTGGGTTCACCAAGATGAAAATCCATCATAATCTCCTGGAAATCATTCAGGATACCCTTGTTTTAAGTTCAGCTGACTAGCAACCGTAATTCCATCTGCAATCTTCATTCCTTCTTTCCATGTAAAATAACATATTCACAAGCTATGGAGGCCAGGACAGGGACATTTTGGGGTGGGACAGCATTCTCCTGCCTTCCACGAACGGTGAACAAGATGCATTTGGCCTCTGCTCTTGGGACACTGATATTGCAGATGGTTAAATGGGAGGGCAGAAAATGAATGCACAAGTGGACCAATAAATGAATGATCCATTGGGAAGCATCTGTGTATGAAATCTATTTGTTTGTTCGTTCATTTATTTATTGAGACAGAGTCTCCCTCTGTCTTCCAGGCTACAGTGCAGTGTCACGATCTTGGCTCACTGCAACCTGCGTCTCCTGGATCCAAGTGATTCTCCTGCCTCACCCTCTCGAGTAGCTGGGATTACAGGCAACTGCCACCATGCCCGGCTAATTCTTTTTGTATATTTTTTGTAGAGAGGATGTTTCACCATATTGGCCAAGCTTGTCTGAAACTCCCAACCTCAAGTGATCCGACCATCTCAGCAACCCAAAGTACTGGGATTACAGGCGTGAGCCACTTTGCCCAGCCAGAATTCAAAATAAATAATAGATAATGCTGAGTGTATAATTTTGGGTGACAGAGAAGGTCTCACTAATCAGATATTTGTGACATTAATGAAAAACACGGATTGAACCCCTGAAAGATTGGCGGAAGGATTTTCCACACAGCTGTCAGCTGTGAAGGCACAAAGGTGAAAACAATCTGATGTTGAAGGAAGAGGCTCTGACTCAAATGCTGGGAATGAAGTGGGGAGAATGACAAGACGACTGTGGAGAGACGGAGAGCACACTGGGTACACAGGAAACTAAGGAGCAACAAGGAGTGTGTGTTTGACACTCACAGCCATTGGATTCACCTCGGGGTAACCAGGAATCCCTACATGATTAATATGACTGACATGAAAATAAGGGAGGCCCAGGTGCGTAACTGGAATCTAGGAGACCGTGGAAAAGGCAATTGCCGCCCCACTGGTGAAATGTGGTGCTGATTTAGACCCTAAGTGGATGAAGCAGATGGATATAAGCTATGTTTGGGAGGTAGAATCATTTGCAGGGAGGGCTTGCTGGGTTTGAGTTTCCTAGTTGTTTAATCCTTGCTAAATTAATTTCTTTCTGAGATTTATTCCTCCTACACATAAATCAATACCTGGCAAAGGAGTGACAGATATATGAGGGGTGGTGGAAATGAAGGGACCTATTATAGCATAATATACAAGTCTGTGAACGGTGGCTCACTCCTGTAACCCAGCACTGCAGGAGGCTAAGGCCAGTGGATTCCAAGAAATCAGGAGTTCGAGACCAGCCTGGCCAACATGGTGAAACCCTATCTCTACATGGTGAAACCCTATCTCTCCTAAAAATACAAAAATTAGCCGAGCATGGTGGTGCATCCCTGTAATCCCAGCTCCTGCTCTGGAGGATGAAGCAGGAGAATGACTTCAACCCAGGAGGTGGAGGTTGCAGTGAGTGGAGATCGCATCACTGCACTCCAGCCTGGGTGACACAAGGAGACTCCATCTCAAAAAATAAAAATAAGAAATGCATAAATATAATAAAACACACACGAATGACAAAGGCACCTGAATTCCCATCATCATTTTTCTATTTCTCTATAATTACTTCTTTGATCCTTTATCTTATCCATTAGGCAATCAGCCTAAAACCTCTTCCGTATTTGGCTTTCTGTGAGCATGAGATCATATAGAAAATGTGAAAGCCCGCTGAATCCTCCAGCACAAATCCTGGAATAGAGAAAGTGCTCTGGTCATCACAAAAAAAACTTGCCCCCTCACCCAAATCCCCCACCTCACCCCTACTTCCAATCACCTGTGGAGATACAGATAGATCATGGGGAGGTAAATGCTCATACTCCTTGGAGTGAGTCCAGATCTTGGAATCAGAGATCTGTCCCAGCACTAGCTCCTGCTCCCCTTTCCTACTAATTCACAGGAGGACAGGTGGTATTGAAGCAATAGATAGTCGAGGGGGTGGTCCTTCCCCCAGCCTCTCAGGTAGAACAGCAGCCTAACATGTGTCTCCCGAGATCACAAAGAGTAGCACATTTCACACGGGCTTCAACACTATTTTCTGGCTGTTTGACATAAGAGAATTCTACTTCGCTTTTTTTATATTGATTTCACTTTTGTTTCCTTTTCTTGGAGAATGCAAGTTGTTTAACTCAAGAATGCCGTGGATGTAGAAATCCTAAAGCACATTCGCTGTGTATCAATCCCAGTCCAGTCTTCCCAGAGAAGACTCTAAACACCTCCTGGACTGCACCTGGGCCTATGCCAATTCCTATCACTCACCGTCACTCCAGGGAGACAGAACACACAGAGAATACGTTACATAGGCAGGTTCATTACTAACAGATAAGCAGCGAGTGACAACAGAAGCCTACATTTCAATGTGAGCCAGTTCCCCAAGGCTCAGAAAAGCTGCTCGAGACATGTGGAGTCACCCCATTTGCAGTGTAGCTGGGGGAAGCCAGAAAGCAGCCCAGCCTGGGTTTTGTACCCTGGAGCCACAGGAAGCACTCAGCTAAAGCACTGCATGACGTCCTCCTCCAGGAAGAACAGGAAGACAGCCCAGGCTGTTCTGGGACGATCCTCCTGATCTCAGGACTTTGCTGTCTTAGTCCATTTTTGTTGCTCTAAAGGAACACTTGAGCCTGGGTAACTTCTAAAGAAGAGATTGGTTTGCCTCACCATTCTGCAGGCTGTACTGGAAGCATGGCACCAGAATCTATTTCTTATGATGGCCTCAGGCCGCTCCCACTCTGGCAGAAGGGAAGGAGAGTCTGTCTGTGCAGAGACCACAGAGATCACACGGCAAGAGAGGGAGCAAGGGGGAGGGGGAGCAATGGAGCTTCCAAGCTCTTTTTAACAACCAGCTCTCCAGGAACTAATAGAGAGGGAACTTGCTAACCCCGTCTCCTTGGGACAGCATTGATCTGTTCATGATGGATCCACCTCCATGACCCAAACACCTCCCAAGAGGCCCAACCTCCCACACTGGGGGTTAAATTTCAATGTGAGGTTTGAAGGGGTCAAACATCTCAACTAAAGTAGTTGTATCCTCAGCACGTTCCATGCTTACTATGAGAGCTATAACTGAGAAAGCAGGAGGAAGCTAGGTCTCCCGCCATCTGGGTGCTTGTCCGAAAGAGATGCTGTAAGTGGTTACCTGTCAATCAAGAAATGCAAGACAATTCATATAGAGAATCTGCTATGATTAGCTTCTTACTGGTGTCTCCTCTTCTTCCAGGTAACCCCAGACACCTGCATGTTCTCATTGGGACCTCAGTGGTCATCATCCTCTTCATCCTCCTCCTCTTCTTTCTCCTTCATCTCTGGTACTCCAACAAAAAAAGTAAGTCTCACGCGGCACAGGCCAGAGAGCTCAGGGCCATGTGGGGAAGCAGGATGGGAGCACACAGCTGTGTGTTCCTCACTGGCAGGATGGTCCCTGGCCCAAGGCAGCAGCCACAGAGGCAGGACTTTCTAGAGAGAGCACCAGACTCCCTGCCCCTGCCTTCAGCTCACAGACCGTTGCCTGATTCTGAACTGTATCCTCATGTCCCCCGCAGCCACTCACATCCAGGAGAAGGTTCCATGACAGGCAGAAAGTGGGAGATAGAATCAATGGGATGGGAACTCAGAGCTATTCATGGGATGGGTCCTTGAGCTCAGAGAGATAGAATGTCTGAGTCTGCTGTTGGCAACTGAGGGACCTCAGGCACCTATGGCCTCCCCCTGTTTGTTGGTATCTGCTTATGAAATGAGGACCCAGAAGTGCCCTCCGAGCTCTTTTGTTGACTTCCGTCTCCTACAGATGCTGCTGTAATGGACCAAGAGCCTGCAGGGAACAGAACAGCCAACAGCGAGGTAGGTGCTCCTCGGCCCAGCCTCGTGGCTAGTGTTATTCCCAAACAGTCCTGGAAAACGTGAGCACCCTCCCTCACTCAGCATTTCCCTCCCTCACTCAGCATTTCCCTCTCTCCAGGACTCTGATGAACAAGACCCTCAGGAGGTGACATACGCACAGTTGGATCACTGCGTTTTCACACAGAGAAAAATCACTCGCCCTTCTCAGAGGCCCAAGACACCCCCTACAGATACCATCTTGTACACGGAACTTCCAAATGCTAAGCCCAGATCCAAAGTTGTCTCCTGCCCATGAGCACCACAGTCAGGCCTTGAGGGCGTCTTCTAGGGAGACAACAGCCCTGTCTCAAAACCGAGTTGCCAGCTCCCATGTACCAGCAGCTGGAATCTGAAGGCCTGAGTCTTCATCTTAGGGCATCGCTCCTCCTCACGCCACAAATCTGGTGCCTCTCTCTTGCTTACAAATGTCTAGGTCCCCACTGCCTGCTGGAAAGAAAACACACTCCTTTGCTTAGCCCACAGTTCTCCATTTCACTTGACCCCTGCCCACCTCTCCAACCTAACTGGCTTACTTCCTAGTCTACTTGAGGCTGCGATCACACTGAGGAACTCACAATTCCAAACATACAAGAGGCTCCCTCTTGACGTGGCACTTACCCACGTGCTGTTCCACCTTCCCTCATGCTGTTTCACCTTTCTTCGGACTATTTTCCAGCCTTCTGTCAGCAGTGAAACTTATAAAATTTTTTGTGATTTCAATGTAGCTGTCTCCTCTTCAAATAAACATGTCTGCCCTCATTGCTTCAGGTAATGTGACACTGTATTCGCTGAAAGAAACCGCTGTTATCATTACCATGTCCACATAACCCCATCTGTTCTCCGCTAGGTTCTCACCCCTGGACTCTGAGCTTCTGGAAGCAGGGTGGAGCCTCATTTGTCTCTGGGACTCCAATTTCCATCCAAAGATGCAGCACATAGGAGGTTCCAAGGATCGTGAATCACATGAACAAGTGATATTCTTACTCTCTGCAACCTGGAAAGCTGGCAGAGTCATTCCACGATGAAACATTTGTAGAGTCATAAGCCTTGCTAGTCTCATCTCCACGGGGACACATATCAACACATCATATTTCATACTATAAATATACAGTCGCTCCTCCATATCTGTGGGGTTTACAGGTGTTTATTGAACCAAGTGTAAATCAAAAATATTCAGAGAAAATGTCCACAAAGTTTCAAAATGCAAAACTATGTTGAATGGACACAAATGAGGCAGTGTGTAGGCTGTATCAGGAATTATAAGTAATCAAGAGATGATTTCATGTATACAGGAGGATGTGCATGGGTTATATCCAAATGCTGTGTCATTTTATGTAAGAGGCTTGAGCATCTGCAGATTTTGGTACCTGAGTGGAGATCCTGAAACCAATCACCCACGAATAGTAAAGGATGACCGTATATGACTTTTATTTCTCAATTTTAAATATAAATCATAAAAAATGTACAATAACTAGATAAAAAGTAAGAAGTGTTTTTATAGTGTGAGAATAAGTTTAGATTTATTTTTTCCTACGTGTAACCCTTTGGTTTAATATTATTTATTGAGAAGACATTCTATGCCACCTTAAACCACACGGCAGCCTTTGTCAACTCTAAAGGGACTGTGTGTACACGGATGTATTTTAGACACTGTTTCTGCTAAGGGGCTCTCTGTGTCCACACTCTTGAGGATGCTGCACTTCATGTAGCCTTATAAAACCCTTTAAATTTAGTAGCCAGAGCCCTCTAATTTGTTATTATAGGCTACTTGCTATTTTTTTTTCTTGAGGCGGAGTCTTGCTCTGTCGCCCAGGCGGGACTGTAGTGGAGCAATCTCAGCTCACTGCAACTTCCGCCTCCCAGGTTCAGGCGATTCTCGTGCCACAGTCTCTTGAGTAGCTGGCGTTTCAGGTGCCTGCCACCAGGCATGGCTAATTTTTGAATTTTTAGCAGAGACGCGGTTTCACTGTGTTGGCCAGGCTGCTCTCAATCTCCTCATCTCAGTTGATCCGCCCACCTCGGCTTCCCAACCTGCTGGGGGAAACTTGATTTTCTATAGCATTATGTTACTGGATATTTCTGTAAAATTTAAAATGAGGGAGGCAGAGAGACAGAGAGAGAGCAAACTCCACAGTTGGGACTCTGGAATCTTGAGTCATGAGACAAATTATAGATAAAACTACAAAAATCCAGAATTTACATGTGTGGTTTTTGCTGATAAAGTACAATTCTAAGATTGTAAATAATTGCATAATCCTTCCCTGGGAATTTAAATCATTTGAACTGGTTCTGCTGTAATACTAGAAATACAAGCATGAACAATTCTAATGGTTTATTAGTCACAATGACTCTGAAAACACTAATAATACCTATTAGATATTTTGCATATTACACAGGAAGAAGAGTTCGAATCTCAGATAAAAACAATAAAAATTCATGAAAAGTCTTTCATGTTAGCACAGATTTTAGGCATCTCATGTTTGGGAGGTTGGATCTAAGACGTGTTTTGAGTTGGTCATAGTGAAGGACGCGAGGTGTCAATTCTAGTGAGAGCAATTTCCAGGAAGCCATGTTCCGCTCTTGAGCGAGCACACACTGGGCCTCATGCAAGGTAGAAAAAGCCTGCGTACGTCACCCTCCCATGATGTGGTCAACATGTAAACTGCATGGGCAGGGCGCCAAATAACATCCTGTGCGCTGCTGAGCTGAGCTGGGGCGCGGCCGCCTGTCTGCACCGGCAGCACCATGTCGCTCATGGTCATCATCATGGCGTGTGTTGGTGAGTCCTGGAAGGGAATAGAGGGAGGGAGCGTGGGGATGGAGATCTGGGCCCAGAGGTGGAGATATGGGCCTGGAGGTGGAGTTATGGGCCTGGAGTGGAGATCTGGGCCTGGAGTGGAGATCTGGGCCTAGAGATGGAGTGATGGGCCTAGAAGTGGAGATCTGCGCCTGGAGTGGAGATCTGGGCCTGGAGTGAAGATCTGGGCCTGGAGTGGAGATATGGGCCTGGAGTGGGGATAGGAACCTGGAGTGGAGAGAGGAACCTGGAGGAGAGATAGGAACCTGGAGGGGAGGTAGGAGCCTAGGGTGGAGATATGGGACTGGAGTGGAGATATGGGACTGGAGTGGAGATATGGGCCTGGAGTGGAGTTATGGGCCTGGAGTGAAGTTATGGGCCTGGAGGTGGAGATATGGGCCTGGAGTGGAGATATGAGCCTGGAGTGGAGATATGGTCCTGGAGTGCAGTTATGGGCCTGGAGTGGAGATATGGGTCTGCAGTGGAGATATGGGCCTGGAGGTGGAGATATGGGTCTGGAGTGGAGTTATGGGCCTGGAGTGAAGTTATGGGCCTGGAGGTGGAGATATGGGCCTGGAGTGGAGATATGGGACTAGAGTGGAGATAGGGGCCTGGAGGTGGAGATCTGGGCCTGGAGTGGAGATCTGGGCCTGGAGTGGAGATATGGGCCTGGAGTGGAGATATGGGTCTGCAGTGGAGATATGGGCCTGGAGGTGGAGATATGGGCCTGGAGTGGAGTTATGGGCCTGGAGTGAAGTTATGGGCCTGGAGGTGGAGATATGGGCCTGGAGTGGAGATATGGGACTAGAGTGGAGATACGGGCCTGGAGGTGGAGATCTGGGCCTGGAGTGGAGATATGGCCCTGGAGTGGAGATATGGGCCTGGAGTGGAGATATGAGCCTGGAGTGGAGATATGGCCCTGGAGTGGAGATATGGGCCTGGAGTGGAGATATGAGCCTGGAGTGGAGATATGGCCCTGGAGTGGAGATATGGGCCTGGAGTGGAGATATGGGCCTGGAGTGGAGATATGGGTCTGGAGTGGAGATATGGGCCTGGAGGTGGAGATATGGGCCTGGAGTGGAGATATGGGCCTGGAGGTGGTGATATGGGCCTGGAGTGTAGATATGGGCCGAGTGGAGATATGGGTCTGGAGTGGAGATATGGGCCTGGAGTGGAGATATGGGACTGGAGTGGAGATATAGGCATGGGGTGGAGACATGGGCCGGGAGTGGAGATATGGGACTGGAGTGGAGATACGGACGTGGGGTGGAGATATGTGCCTGGAGGTGGAGATATGGGCGTGGGTTGGAGATATGGGCCTGGAGTGGAGATATGGGCGTGGGGTGGAGATATGGGTCTGGAGTGGAGACATGGGCATGGGGTGGAGATATGGGCCTGGTGTGTAGATATGGGCCTGGAGTGGAGATATGGCCCTGGAGTGGAGATATGGGCCTGGAGTGGAGATCTGGGCCTACGGTGGAGATATGGGCCTAGGATGGGGATATGGGCCTGGAATGGAGATATGGGCCTGGGTGTGGAGATATGGGACTGGAGTGGAGATATGGGCCTGATGTGGAGATATGGGCTTGGAGTGGAGATATGATCCTGGAGTGTAGTTATGGGCCTGGAGGTGGAGATCTGGGCCTGGGGTGGAGATATGGGCCTGGAGTGGAGATATGGGACTGGAGAGGAGATATGGGCCTGGAGTGGAGATATGGGCCTGGATTGGAGATATGGGCCTAGGGTGGAGATCTGAGCCTGGATTGGAGATGTGGGCCCGGATTGGCTATATGGGTCTAGGGTGGAAATATCGGCCTGGAGTGGAGATATGGGCCTGGAGTGGAGATATGGGCTTGGGGTGGGGATATGGGCCTGGAGGCTGGGTCTCTGCACAGCCGAGAGCACTGTTCTTGGGTGCAGGTAGGCACTGATGGTGAGTTTCCCTTCGGCCCAGGAAGGGGCTGGCTATCAAGACTCACAGCCCAGTGGGGGCAGCAAGGAAGGCCTTGTTTGCCTGCAAATGGATCTTCCATCATGATCTTTCTTTCCAGGGTTCTTCTTGCTGCAGGGGGCCTGGCCACAGGAGGGTAAGTCCTTCTCCAAACCTTAGGGTGTCATCTCCCCACATAAGAGGATTTTCCTGAAATGGGAGGGAAGTCCTGTCAGGGAGTCTCTCATAAACTAGGAAGAGGGGACCCTGGGGTGCTCGGCCCACAGTTCCGACCTTGCCTCCCTGGCCTCTCAACCCCTTGGCAGAGTCAAGTTGTGTGGGGACCAGGGTTGGACTAGGGTGTTCAAAGCTGGGTTGTGTGGTGGGGAAGTGGTAGGAACAGCAGATCCTCTGAGGACAAAGGTGTTACTCACACACTTCAGCGTTTCCATGACGGTAGGGGCTGCAGTGTGGCTGCTGTCATTCTACCAGAAGAGGTGGGAAACCACAGCCATGGCCCTGACATTCCAAATCCTCTGATGGGGGCTAAGTTTTTTATTCTCATTCAGGCAACTGCTGATATTCCATTCTCAAAGGACATGCCCTCCACTTCATGTCTACCCTGTGTTGTTTTATGTCAGTAATCTTACAGTATTAAAATCTAGTAGGAGTCTCTTACTCAGCACTTGCTCAAAGTTCTCAGCTGACACTTTTGTTGTACGGAGACACCTTGTCTTTGTGGGATGGGTCCTTCCTTTAGCCCTAGGCACCAAGGTGTGATAGCAGCCATAGAAATGTGGAAAGTGGGGAGAATCTTCTGAGCACAGGGAGGGAGGCACAGCTCCACATCCTCCTCTCTAAGGCGGCGCCTCCTTCACCCCAAGGTGGTCAGGACAAGCCCTTGCTTTCTACCTGGCCCAGCCTTGTGGTGCCTCCAGAACATGTGACTCTTCAGTGTCACTCTAATCTTGGGTTTAACAACTTCAGTCTGTACAAGGATGATGGGGTGCCTGTCCCTGAGCTGTACAACAGAATATTCTGGAAAAGCCTTTTCATGGGCCCTGTGACCCCGTCACATGCAGGGACCTATAGATGCCGGGGTTCACACACACACTCCCCCAGTGGGTGGTCGGCACCCAGCAACCCCCTGGTGATCATGGTCACAGGTCAGAGGGCTCCTGTCTGGGATTCTCCTTGTCCCACCTCCTGAATCCCAGAGCTTCTGGTAGGCATGTCCTTGAGGGTCCCATCACGCAGGCCCTAACTGTATTTGGGGTAAAGGGGGATTGAATACAGGGAAATGGGTGCTGTGGTGGGAAGAATAAGTGTCCCCAATGATGACTGCATTCTAATCCCTGGAGTCTGTGACTATTTATGTTATAGGGGAAGGGACTGAAGGGGAAGATGGAGCTCAGGTTGTTGATGAGTTGACCTTGAGATGGGGAGACAGCCTGGACTGTCCCGGTGGGCTCAGTATAATCACAAGTGTCCACATGAAAGGAGGAGGAAGAGGAGAGTGGGGATTAGAGCAGCGTAGTGGGAGACTCCATCAGCTTTGAAGGTGGATGAAGGCCATAAGCCATGAATGCAGGTGGCCTATAGAGGCTGGGAAAGTCAAGTAACTGATTCTCCTGAGTCTCCAGAGGGAACACAGCCCTGCAGATGCCTTGATTTTAGCCCTCAAAAAACAGGGTCCGCTTTCTGTCTCCAGAATCGGAGGGGGTCAGTGTGCTCTCTCCTGCTGCCATGCTTCTGATAATTTTCTACAGCAGCAACAGGAAACCAACACTGGAACCCAGGTCAAGGACAAGTTAAGAAAAGACACAAGGATAGCCAGGCATGGTGGCAGGTGCATGTAATCCTAGCGACTCAGGAGGCTGAGAGCAGGAGAATCGCTTGAACCCAGGAGACAGAGGTTGCAGTGAGCGTAGACCACACCACTTCACTCCAGCCTGGGCGAAGGAGTGAGACTCTGTCTCCAAAATTAATTAATTAATTAAAGAAACCAAACAAAGAGAAGGTTGGCTACACCGAGATCAGCAAGGGTGGGATGATGATGCCACCACCAGGCTCCATCCACATAGGGAGGGGTTGATACTCCTCAAATCAGCACGAGGAGCCAGCCTATGGAAACTGGCACCATGGAGAAGGCACAGACATGGCAAGAGTGGCTCCCAGTCCCCACCAGGAACAGGGTGTGTGGACACTGGTGCCTGCCTTACTGATCAGTTCATACCTCCTGCCAAGGATTCCAATTCGTCCAAAAGAGATTGAACCAGGCTGCTAAGAGCCGGGACGTGCAGCCTATCCTGCTTCCTCTTCCACTCCCACATAGACAGTAAGAAAGACATTAGTGTGAAATAGATACAACAGCCCAAGAGATGAGGCTGAGCCCAGTGGGAAGGGAACCACAGCTACTAGAGACAGAGGGACAGAGAAGAGGGAGGGAGACAGATGGAAGGACCTGCACCAGGAGTTATGGGCACAGAAAAGAACATGAAGACACAGAGAGGAAGCAGAGAGACAGACACCAGCGAAGGGAAGGCTCACTCATTCCAGGTGCCATGGATGGGATGATAAAGAGAGACACCTTCTAAACTCACAACCTCTCTTCCTAGGAGTCCACAGAAAACCTTCCTTCCTGGCCCTCCCAGGTCACCTGGTGAAATCAGAAGAGACAGTCATCCTGCAATGTTGGTCGGATGTCATGTTTGAGCACTTCCTTCTGCACAGAGAGGGGAAGTTTAACAACACTTTGCACCTCATTGGAGAGCACCATGATGGGGTTTCCAAGGCCAACTTCTCCATTGGTCCCATGATGCCTGTCCTTGCAGGAACCTACAGATGCTACGGTTCTGTTCCTCACTCCCCCTATCAGTTGTCAGCTCCCAGTGACCCTCTGGACATGGTGATCATAGGTGAGAGTGTCCAGACATTCTTCTCATTGTCATTGGGATGCAGAGTGAATGATCCAGGACTTGGAGACCCAGGTGGTTGTAAGGAAGATGAGCTTGGTATTCTTATGGAGAGAGACTGACTTGGTGAGGTCTGTGCCAACAGAGACAGAGAAACAAGAGACACAAGTACAGACCAGGTGTCGTAACAGAGGACAAACACAGGGGCCATACAGGGAGTTAGAAAAGACAGAAAGAGTTAAAGGAGACAGACAGACATGTCCCAGACAGAGGTGTCCTTCCATGCTGACTTTGCTCAGAGACCTGGCACAGGTTAGAAGTTTCATTTCTGTTTTACCTCCACAAAGTGTTCTCTACCAGGAGAACCCAAGGACACCCATATTTCTGACCTGAGTTGGGCCCTGTGGCCTCAGGCCTTGTGGCACCTACAGATGCCATGCTTATTCTGACACCTCTGACTTCCATGCAATGGAGAATAATCGTCCCAAAATATCATGGCCCCAGAACACCAACCCCTGTATGCTGTGTGAACTTGTGGTCTCCAGACTGGATTCTGAGGCTCACATTCCAAATAACCCCACATATCACATATGAGAGGATCACTGAGAAGCACAGAGAGAAATCAGGGACACCAAAAAGCAAAGACATAAACACACAGAGAAAGAGCCAGAGGAAGGAGATTGAGAGACTCACAGACACATAAAGAGAGAGAAGAGGGCAGAGAAGTGGAGAGAATGATGGAAGAGAGCAGAGAAAACCACTAAAATTAGAGTCCTGAGGGTGAGGCACAAGGGCATAGAAAGATGGAGATGTGGGGATGAATTGCAGAGATTCCAAAGAGAACTAGAGAGACCGAGAGGCAGAGCAAGACAGATGATAGATGGATAGATACAGATAGATGATGGATAGATATAGATAGATGATATATAGGTAGATGATAGATAATAGGTTATAGATACATAGATGATGATTGATTGATTCATTAATAGATGATACATAGAGATGATGATGATGAAGATAGATGGATAGATAATACATAGAGATAGAGAGGAAGACAAAGAGAGAAATAATAGAGAGAGAGAGATGATACATATATATAGATAATAGATGATTGACGGATAGACAATTGATAGATAAATAGATGATATATAGATATAGATGACAGGTAGAGAATTTGTAGATAGGCACCGAATAGATAAATAGATGGATTGATAGATAATAGATAGAAATATGCAGAAAGTTATGAACGGGACACAAACTGAGAAACTCAGAGTTAAAAAAAGTAACATCAAGTCAACCAATCCAAGGAGAGCCAGAGAGAATAAAACAATCCAAAAACGGAAAACATAACTAGAGGTAGGGAAGTGAGGTCAGAGACCTACAGAGACAGAGAAGGTGGAAGGAGGAAATAGACATGAAGAGAGATGGGGTGGAGGGTGAGACAGAGAAAGAGAGCATTAGGCCATAGAGCAGGGGAGTGAGTTCTCAGGTCAGGTGTGAGGGGAGCTGTGACAAGGAAGATCCCCCCTGAGGAAACTGCCCCTTCTCCTTCCAGGTCTATATGAGAAACCTTCTCTCTCAGCCCAGCCGGGCCCCACGGTTCAGGCAGGAGAGAATGTGACCTTGTCCTGCAGCTCCATCTATCCAGGGAGGGGGAGGCCCATGAACGTAGGCTCCCTGCAGTGCGCAGCATCAACGGAACATTCCAGGCCGACTTTCCTCTGGGCCCTGCCACCCACGGAGGGACCTACAGATGCTTCGGCTCTTTCCGTGACGCTCCCTACGAGTGGTCAAACTCGAGTGATCCACTGCTTGTTTCCGTCACAGGTGAGGAAACCCCATATCTGTCCCATGTCCTATGATCCTAGAGCCTTAGCTGAGGAGCTTCCTGCTGATGATGGAGAGAAGCATGGACAGATGCAGAGAGAAGACGCAGCATGCCTGTGAGGGAGGGATCAGGGCGCAGGATGGCACACACAGCACCTCCAAACCCTCCTGCATGGCCTGCATGGAGGCCTCCGATTAGGGCTCCAGGCACCCAGGCAGATGTAGAAAGCGGTCAGGAGAGACCCAGAGAAGGGGAGACTGGGCTCAGTTTGGGGAGATCAGAGGTTCCCTCAGCCCCTCAACCTTACCCATTTCCCAGAAGCCCTTCCTGGCCTCTCACCCACACAGAGATGTCATCACCAGCAACCCCTACATCCTTTTCTTTTTGTTTGAAAAAATATTTATTGAGGTTAAATATACCTATATAGCTTACCACTTTTAACATTTTTTTTTTTTGAGGTGGAGTCTAGCTCTGTCTCCTATGCTGGAATGCAGTGGCACAATCTCAGCTCACTGTAACCTCCGCCTCCTGGGTTCAAGCGATTCTCCTGCCTCAGCCACCTGAGTAGCTGGTACTACAGGCGCCCATCACCACGCCAGGCTACTTTTTGTATTTTTAGTAGAGAGGGGGTTTCACCATGTTGGTCGAGCTGCTCTGGAACTCCTGACCACGTGATCCACCCGCCTCAGGCTCCCAAAGTGCTGGGATTACAGGCATGAGCCACCGCGCCCGGCCACGTTTACCAATTTTAAGTGTAAGGTCTAGTGGTCATAAATACATACATATAAATTTTTTGTTTGTTTGTTTTATCCTCCACCCTTTTCTTCCTGGCCTCTGGTAGCCACCATTCTACTCTCTATCTTCATGAGATCCACCTTTTAGCTCCTGTATATGGGTGAGAAATGAGAATATTTGTAATGACTTCCAGTTCCATCCATGTGGCTGCAAATATCAGGATGTTATTCTTTCTATGGATGAGTAGTCTCCGCTGTGCGTATGTACTACATTCTCTCTATCCATTCATCCACTGATGGGCAGGTAGGTTGACTCCACATCTTGGCTACTGTGAACAGTGCTGCACCAATCATACGAGTGCAGATATCACTTCGATACATTGATTTACTTTCCTTTGGATATAAACCCAGTAGTGAAATTGCTGGATACTATGAAAGTTCTCTTTTTAGTTTTTCGTTTGTTGTTTTGTTTTTGTTTTTGAGACAGTTTCCCTCTGTGCCCAGGCTGGAGTACAAGTGATGTGATCTTGGCTCATTGCAACCTCCGCCTCCTGGGTTCAAATGATTTTCCTGCCTCAGCCTCCCTAGTAGCTGGGATTACAGGTGCACGCCACCATGCCGGGATACTTTTTGGTTTTTTTTAGTGTACATGGGGTTTCCCCAGGTTGGCTAGGCTGCTCTCAAACTCATGACCTCAACTGAGGTGCCCGCCTCGGTCTCCCAAAGTGCCGGGATTACAGGCATGATCCACTTCATCCAACCTCTTTTTAGTTCTTTAAAGGACTTCCATACTTTTCTCCGTAATGGCTGTACTAATTTACACTCCTACCAACAGGGTACCAGGGTTCTCCTTTCTCTACCACCTTGCCAGCATTTGTTTTGCCTGTCTTGCAGCTAAAAGCCATTTTATTTTATTTCATTTTATTTTGAGATGGAGTTTCGCTCTTGTCACCCAGGCTGGAGTGCAGTGGTGCGATCTCGGCTCACCGCAACCTCCACCTCCCAGGTTCAAGCGATTCTCCTGCCTCAGCCTCCCGAGTAGCTGGAATTACAGGCACACGCCACCACGCCCGACTAATTTTTGTATTTTTAGTAGAGACAGCGTTTCTCCATGTGGGTCATACTGGTCTCAAACTCCCGACCTTATGAGATTCGCCCACCTCGGGCTCTCAGAGTTCTAGGATGACAGACGTGAGCCACCTCGCCCGGCCTAAAAGCCATTTTAATGGGGTGAGATGAAAACTCACTTTGATTTTAATTCGCGTTTCTCTGATGATGAGTGATACTGAGCACTTTTTCGTATGTGGGGAAATTTCATGTCTTTTGCTCCTTTTTCAATTAAATCATTTGTTTTATTGAGTTGTTTGAGCTTCTTATACTTCTAGTTACTAATCCCGTCTCAGAAGCATAGTTTGCACATATTTGCTCCCAATCTGTGGGTTGTCTCTTCACTTTGTTGGTTTATTTTTAGCGGTGCAGAAGTTGCTTAGTTTGAGGTAATCCCAATGGTCTATTTTTGCTTCAATTACTTGTGTTTTGAAGGTTTAAAACAAAATGTCTTCCTTCAGACAAATGTCCTGGAGCATTTCCCCAATATTTTCTTCTACGTGTTTCACAGGTTCAGGCCTTAGACTCACATCTTTAATCCACTTTCATTTGATTTTTGTGTATGGTGACAGGTAGAGGTGCAGTTTCATTCCTCTGCATGTAGATGTCCAGGTTTCCCTGCACTGTTTATTGAAAAAACTGTCCTTTCCTGATTGTGAGTTCTTGGCACCTTTGTCAAAGTCCATTGGATGGGCTGGGCATGGTGGCTAACACCAGCAACTTCAGCACTTTGGGAGGCCAAGGCTGGTGGATCACCTGAGGACAGGAGTACAAGATTACTCTGGCCGACGTGATGAAACATCGTCTCCACTAAAAATATAAAAATTAGCTGAGCATGGTGGTCAGCACCTGTAATACTACTACTCAGGAGTTTGAGGCAAGAGAATTGATTGAACCCAGGAGGCTGAGGTTGCAGTGAACCGAGATTGCACCTCTGCACTCCAGCCTGGGTGACAGAGCGAGACTCCATCTCAAAAGAAAAAATAAAAAAAATTGGATGTAAATGCATGGATTATATCTGTGTTCTTCATTCTGCTCCGTTGTTCTATGTGCCTTTCTTCATGCCAACATCATGCTGTTTTGCTTACTACAGCTCTGTAACATATTTTGAGATCAGGTAGTGTGATGCTCCTGTTTTCTCTTTATACCTTGAAGTCTCAAGACAGTGGGCGTCACATACAAAAATTATGGAAGAAAGGATCCCTGGACTCCCAGGGCCCAATGTTAGATAACAGAGTGTTGGCCATGAACCATCCTCAAAGATTTCCATTGAGTAGAGGACAGACACCCGCATTTCCTCACCTCTCTCCTGTCTCATGTTCTAGGAAACCCTTCAAATAGTTGGCCTTCACCCACTGAACCAAGCTCCAAAACCGGTGAGTACAGGACCCTCTTATATCTGCTTTTGGAACCCTGGGGAGGTGGAAACCTTGGATTCAGGCGTTGACTCAGCATCTCACAGCTCTGACATTGTACGCCTGTCTTCTACCATCTCCGAACTCCAGATACTCCAACAGCGAAAGGGATCTGGGCCCAACACAGGGCTCAGTGAAATCTCTTCATCTCTCATTTTATGGAGCTGAGACCTCCTACAAGCTAGAAGAATGATTGCCAATCTGACATCCTTCTCAGGAAAAATGCAATGTTTGTTCTGCTTGCATTCCTAACTGGAGGATAAATTCCTGGGGGCTTGAGAGAGGGAAGGGAAGCGAACATCTGATGAGGGCGAGGTGTTTTAGAGAAGTTCCACTTGCCAAGGAATGAGCTCCTGTTGGTCATGAAACAACCCTGGCTGACTCAGCAGAGCAAGAGCCTTGCCGTAACAGAGAACAGAGCTCATGCACGCACACTTCGACTCACTGACTTATTCAGCCATGGCCCCATGCTCAGGTTGTGCAGTGTGGAAGCTTTTCCTATTGTTGCCATAACAAATTTCCACAAGATTCGTGGGTGAAAACAAAACGGTTATTTAATTATCTTACAGTGCTCTAGCTCAAAGCATGAAGTGCATCTCACTGGGCTAAAATCAAGATGACAGCAAGCCTGCCTTCCCTCTGAGGATTCCAGGCAAGAATCTGCTTCTCACTTGTCCCATCTTATAAAGGCTCCCAGTTCCTTGGCTGCTGGTCCCCTTCCTCCTTCCTCAAAGCCCACAAAGGCTGGTCACATCTCACATGGCATCACTCAGACCCTTCTTCCTTACCACACCTCTTTCTCTGAATGCTGCTCTCCCTTCTTCCTCATCTTTTGAAAACTTGGGGATTCTATTGGGTTCACCAAGATGAAAATCCGTCATAATCTCCCGGAAATCATTCAGGATACCCTTGTTTTAAGTTCAGCTGATTAGCAACCGTAATTCCATCTGCAATCTTCATTCCTCCTTTCCATGTAAAATAACATATTCACAAGCTATGGAGGCTAGGACAGGGACATTTTGGGGTGGGACAGCATTCTCCTGCCTTCCACAAATGGTGAACAAGATGCATTTGGCCTCTGCTCTTGGGACACTGATATTGCAGATGGTTAAATGGGAGGACAGAAAATGAATGCACAAGTGGACCAATAAATGAATGATCCATTGGGAAGCATCTGTGCATGAAATCTATTTGTTTGTTTGTTCGTTTGTTTATTGAGACAGAGTCTCCCTCTGTCTTCCAGGCTACAGTGCAGTGTCACGATCTTGGCTCACTGCAACCTGCATCTCCTGGATCCAAGTGATTCTCCTGCCTCACCCTCTCGAGTAGCTGGGATTACAGGCAACTGCCACCATGCCCGGCTAATTCTTTTTGTATATTTTTTGTAGAGAGGATGTTTCACCATGTTGGCCAAGCTTGTCTGAAACTCCCAACCTCAAGTGATCCAACCGTCTCAGCATCCCAAAGTACTGGGATAAAAGGCGTGAGCCACTTTGCCCAGCCAGAATTCAAAATAAATAATAGATAATGCTGAGTGTATAATTTTGGGTGACAGAGAAGGTCTCACTAATCAGATATTTGTGACATTAATGAAAAACACGGATTGAACCCCTGAAAGATTGGCGGAAGGATTTTCCACACACAGCTGTCAGCCGTGAAGGCAGAAAGCTGAAAACAATCTGATGTGGAAGGAAGAGGCTCTGCCTGAAATGCTGGGAATGAGATGGGGAGAATGACAAGACGACTGTAGAGAGACGGAGAGCACACTGGGTACACAGGAAACTAAGGAGCAACAAGGAGTGTGTGTTTGACACTCACAGCCATTGGATTCACCTCGGGGTAACCAGGAATCCCTACATGATTAATATGACTGACATGAAAATAAGGGAGGCTCAGGTGCGTAACTGGAATCTAGGAGACCGTGGAAAAGGCAATTGCCGCCCCACTGGTGAAATGTGGTGCTGATTTAGACACTAAATGAATGAAGTAGATGGATATAAGATATGCTTGTGAGGTAGAATCATTGACTGGAAAGGCTTACTGGGTTTGATTTTCCTACTTGTTTAATCCTCGCTTAATTAATTTCTTTCTGAGATTTATTCATCCTACACATAAATCAATACCTGGCAAAGGAGTGACAGATATATGAGGGGTGGTGGAAATGAAGGGACCTATTATAGCATAATATACAAGTCTGTGAACGGTGGCTCATGCTTGTAACCCAGCACTGCAGGAGGCCAAGGCGGGTGGATTCCATGAAGTCAGGAGTTCCAGACCAGCCTGGCCAACATGGTGAAACCCTATCTGTACTAAAAATACAAAAATTAGCCGAGCATGGTGGTGCATCCCTGTAATCCCAGCTCCTACTCTGGAGGATGAAGCAGGAGAATGACTTCAACCCAGGAGGTGGAGGTTGCAGTGAGTGGAGATTGCATCACTGCACTCCAGCCTGGGTGACACAAGGAGACTCCGTCTCAAAAAATAAAAATAAGAAATGCATAAATATAATAAAACACACACGAATGACAAAGGCACCTGAATTCCAATCATCATTTTTCTATTTCTCTATAATTACTTCTTTGATCCTTTATCTTATCCATTAGGCAATGAGCCTAAAACCTCTTCCCTATTTGGCTTTCTGTGAGCATGAGATCACATAGAAAATGTGAAAGCCCGCTGAATCCTCCAGCACGGATCCTGGAATAGAGAAAGTGCTCTGGTCATCGCAAAAAAAAACTTGCCCACTCACCCAAATCCCCCACCTCACCCCTACTTCCAATCACCTGTGGAGATTCAGATAGACCATGGGGAGGAAACATTAATACTCCTTGGAGTGAGTCCAGATCTTGGAATCAGAGATCAGCGACAGCACTAGCTCCTGTTCCCCTTTCCTACTAATTCACAGGAGGACAGGTGGTATTGAAGCAATAGATGGTCGAGGGGGTGGTCCTTCCCCCAGCCTCTCGGGTAGAACAGCAACCTAACATGTGTCTCCCGAGATCACAAAGAGTAGCACATTTCACACGGGCTTCAACACTATTTCCTGGCTGTTTGACATAAGAGAATCTTGCTTCGCTATTTTTAATCGTGATGTCACCTTTGTTTCCTTTCCTTGGTGAATGCAATTTGTTTGACTCAAGAATGCTGTGGATGTAGAAATCCTAAAGCACATTCGCTGTGTATCAATCCCAGTGCAGTCTTCCCAGAGAAGACTCTAAACAAATCCTGGACTGCACCTGGGCCTATGCCAATTCCTATCACTCACCGTCACTCCAGGGAGACAGAACACACAGAGAATACGTTACATAGGCAGGTTCATTACTAACAGATAAGCAGCGAGTGACAACAGAAGCCTGCATTTCAATGTGAGCCAGTCCCTCAAGGCTCAGAAAAGCTGCTCGGGACATATGGAGTCACCCCATTTGCAGTGTAGCTGGGGGAAGCCAGAAAGCAGCCCAGCCTGGGTTTTGTACCCTGGAGCCACAGGAAGCACTCAGCTAAAGCACTGCATGACGTCCTCCTCCAGGAAGAACAGGAAGACAGCCCAGGCTGTTCTGAGACATTCCTCCTGATCTCAGGATGTTGCTATCTTAGTCCATTTTTGTTGCTCTAAAGGAACACTTGAGCCTGGGTAACTTCTAAAGAAAAGAGATTGGTTTGCCTCACAGTTCTGCAGGCTGTACTGGAAGCATGGCACCAGAATCTATTTCTCGTGACGGCCTCAGGCTGCTCCCACTCTGGCAGAAGGGAAGGAGGGTCTGTCTGTGCAGAGACCGCAGAGATCACACGGCAAGAGAGAGAGTAAGGGGGAGAGGGAGCGATGGAGCTTCCAAGCTCTTTTTAACAACCAGCTCTCCAGGAACTAACAGAGGGGGAACTTGCTAACCCCGTCTCCTTGGGACAGCATTGATCTGTTCATGATGGATCCACCTCCATGACCCAAACACCTCTGAAGAGGCCCAACCTCCCACAATGGGGGTGAAATTTCAATGTGAGGTTTGAAAGGGTCAAACATCTCAACTAAAGTAGTTGTATCCTCAGCACGTTCTATGGTTACTATGAGAGCTATAATTGAGAAAGCAGGGGAAAGCTAGGTCTCCCGCCATTTGGGTGCTTGTCCTAAAGAGACGTTGTATGTGGTTACCTGCCAATCAAGAAATGCGAGACAATTCATAAAGAGGAACTGCTATGATTAGCTTCTTATTGGTGTCTCCTCTTCTTCCAGGTAACCCCAGACACCTACATGTTCTGATTGGGACCTCAGTGGTCAAAATCCCTTTCACCATCCTCCTCTTCTTTCTCCTTCATCGCTGGTGCTCCGACAAAAAAAGTAAGTCTCACGAAGCAGAGGCCAGAGAGCTCAGGGCCATGTGGGGAAGCAGGATGGGAGCACGTGGATGTGTGTTCCTCACCAGCAGGATGGTCCCTGGCCCAAGACAGGAGCCACAGAGGCAGGACTTTCTAGAGAGAGCACCAGATTCCCTTCCCCTGCCTTCAGCTCACAGACCATTGCCTGATTCTGAACTGTATCCTCACGTCCCCTGCAGCCACTCACATCCAGGAGAAGGTTCCATGACAGGCAGAAAGTGGGAGATAGAATCAATGGGATGGGACCTCAGAGCTATTCATGGGATGGGTCCTTGAACTCAGAGAGATAGAATGTCTGAGTCTGCTGTTGGCAACTGAGGGACCTCAGGCACCTATGGCCTCCCCCTGTTTGTTGGTATCTGCTTATGAAATGAGGACCCAGAAGTGCCCTCCGAGCTCTTTTGTTGACTTCCGTCTTCTACAGATGCTGCTGTAATGGACCAAGAGCCTGCAGGGAACAGAACAGTGAACAGCGAGGTAGGTGCTCCTCGGCCCAGCCTCGTGGCTAGTCTTATTCCCAAAGAGTCCTGAAAAATGTGAGCACCCTCCCTCACTCAGCATTTCCCTCTCTCCAGGATTCTGATGAACAAGACCATCAGGAGGTGTCATACGCATAATTGGATCACTGTGTTTTCACACAGAGAAAAATCACTCGCCCTTCTGAGAGGCCCAAGACACCCCCAACAGATACCAGCATGTACATAGAACTTCCAAATGCTGAGCCCAGATCCAAAGTTGTCTTCTGTCCACGAGCACCACAGTCAGGCCTTGAGGGGATCTTCTAGGGAGACAACAGCCCTGTCTCAAAACCGGGTTGCCAGCTCCCATGTACCAGCAGCTGGAATCTGAAGGCATCAGTCTTCATCTTAGGGCATCGCTCTTCCTCACACCACGAATCTGAACATGCCTCTCTCTTGCTTACAAATGTCTAAGGTCCCCACTGCCTGCTGGAGAGAAAACACACTCCTTTGCTTAGCCCACAATTCTCCATTTCACTTGACCCCTGCCCACCTCTCCAACCTAACTGGCTTACTTCCTAGTCTACCTGAGGCTGCAATCACACTGAGGAACTCACAATTCCAAACATACAAGAGGCTGCCTCTTAACACAGCACTTAGACACGTGCTGTTCCACCTCCCTTCAGACTATCTTTCAGCCTTCTGCCAGCAGTAAAACTTATAAATTTTTTAAATAATTTCAATGTAGTTTTCCCGCCTTCAAATAAACATGTCTGCCCTCATGGTTTCGGTAACGAGACTCTTTTCTTGCCTAAGGCTTCCGGTGTTATCATTACCATGTCCACATAACCCCATCTGTTCTCCATTGGGTTCTCAGCCCTGGACTCTGGGCTTCTGGAAGCAGAATGGAGCCTGATTTGTCTCTGAGACTCCAATTTCCATCCAAAGATACAGCACATAGGAGGCTCCAAGGATCGTGAATCACATGAACAAGTGATATTCTTACTCTCTGCAGACCTGGAAAGCTGGCAGAGTCATTCCACGATGAAACATTTGTAGAGTCATAGGCCTTGTTAGTCTCATCTCCACGGGGACACATATCAACATATCATCTTTCATAATATAAATATACAGTCGGTCCTCCATATCTGTGGGGTTTACAGGTGTTTATTGAACCAACAATAAATCAAAAATATTTTCAGAAAAAAATCCCCGAAGTTTCAAGAAGCAAAAAACTATGTTGAATCGACACAAATTGAGTGGCGTGTAGGCTGTGTCAGGAATTATAAGTAATCAAGGGATGATTTCATGTATACAGGAGGATGTGCATGGGTTCTATGCAATTGCTATGCTATTTTTTTTTTTTTTTTGAGACAGTCTCACTCTCTCACCCAGGCTGGAGTGCAGTGGCATGATCTCAGCTCACTGCAACCTCCGCCTCCCAGGTTCAAGCGATTGTCTTCCCTCAGCCTCCCCAGTAGCCTCCCCTAGGATTACAGGCACGTGCCACCATGCACAGATAAATTTTTTTGTGTGTGTATTTTTAGTAGAGACGGGGTTTCAGAATGTTGGACCAGCTGGTCTTGAACTCCTGACCTCGTGATCTACCCAACTCAGCCTCCCAAAGTGCTGGGATTACAGGCGTGAGCCACGGTGCCCAGCTTCGCTATGCCATTTCATGCAAGGGGCTTGAGCATCTGCAGATTTTGGTATCTGAATGGGGATCCTGGAACCAATCACCCAGGAATAGTGAAGGACCACAGTATATAATTTTTATTTGTCAATCTTAAAAATAAAGCATAAAAAGTTTACAACAACAAGATAAAAAATAAGAAGTGTCTTTATAGTGTGAGGATAAGTTTAGATTTATTTTTTCCTACGTGTAACCCTATGGTCCTGTGTTATTTGTTGAGAAAATATTCTATTCCACCTTAAACTACATGGCAGCCTTTGTCAACTATAAAGGGACTGTGTATCCACAGATGTATTTTAGACACAGTTTTCTGCCCAGTGGTTCTCTGTATCCCCTCTCATGAGGATGCTGCATTTCATATAAACTTATAGAACCCCTTAAAATTTGGTAACCTGAGTTCTCTGATTTGTTATTATAGGTTATTTAGTTTGCTTTTTTTTTTCTTTCTTGAGACAGACTCTTCCTCTGTCACCCAAGCTGGAGTTCAGTGGCTTGAGCTCAGCTCACTGCAGCCTCCGCCTCCCAGGTTCAAGCAATTCTCGTGCCTCAGGTTTAGTACTAGAAACTCATCAGGAAAATTAGAATGGCTTTTTGTCACAATTACTCTGATAATGTTAATAATACCTCTTAGATATTTTGCACATTACACATGAAGAAAAGTTTGAATCTCAGATAAAAACAAAAATACATCAAAAGTCTTTAATGTAAGCACAGAATTCAATCACCTCATGTGTGAGAGGTTGGATCTGAGACGTCTTTTGAGTCTGGTCATAGTGAAGGATGCAAGGTGGCAATTGTAGTCACAACAATTTCCAGGAAGCCATGTTCCGCTCTTGAGCGAGCACCCACTGGGCCTCATGCAAGGTAGAAAGAGCCTGCGTACGTCACCCTCCCATGATGTGGTCAACATGTAAACTGCATGGGCAGGGCGCCAAATAACATCCTGTGCGCTGCTGAGCTGAGCTGGGGCGCGGCCTCCTGTCTGCACCGGCAGCACCATGTCGCTCACGGTCGTCAGCATGGCGTGCGTTGGTGAGTCCTGGAAGGGAATAGAGGGAGGGAGAGTGGGGATGGAGATCTCGGCCTAGAGGTAAAGATATGGGCCTGGAGTGGAGATATGGGCCTGGAGTGGAGATATGGGCCTGGGTGTGGAGATATGGGCCTGGAGGTGTAAATATGGGCCTGGAGTGGAGATATGGGCCTGGAGGGGAGATATGGGCCTGGGTGTGGAGATATGGGCCTGGAGTGGAGATACGGGCC
Source organism: Homo sapiens (assembly GCF_000001405.40). Lineage (NCBI taxonomy): Eukaryota > Metazoa > Chordata > Mammalia > Primates > Hominidae > Homo > Homo sapiens. The sequence continues at coordinate 152,181 of NW_016107300.1, forward strand.
TGGAGTGGAGATATGGGCCTGGAGTGGAGATATGGGCCTGCAGGTGGAGATCTGGGCCTGGAGTGGAGATATGGGCCTGGAGTGGAGATATGGGTCTGATGTGGAGATATGGGCCTGGAGTGGAGATATGGGCCTGGAGTGGAGATATGGGCCTAGAGGGGAGATCTGGGCCTGGAGTGGAGATATGGGTCTGATGTGGAGATATGGGCCTGGAGTGGAGATATGGGCCTGGAGTGGAGATAGGGGCCTGGAGTGGAGATATGGGCCTGGAGTGGAGATCTGGGCCAGGAAGTGTTGATCTGGGCCTGGAGCCTGGGTCTCTCCACAGCTGAGAGCCCTGTTCTTGGCAGCAGGTAGCAGGGAGGCTAAGTTTACCTTCAGCCCAGCAAGGGCCTGGCTGCCAAGACACACAGTGCAGTGGGGGCAGCAGGGTGCCCTGGTTTGCCTGCAGTTGGATCGTCTATCATGATCTTTCTTTCCAGGGTTCTTCTTGCTGCAGGGGGCCTGGCCACTCATGGGTGAGTCCGTCCCCAAACCTTAGGGTGTCATCTCCCCACATAAGAGGATTTTTCTGAAACAGGAGGGAAGTCCTGTCGGGGAGTCTCTCATAAACTAGGAAGAGGGGACCCTTGGATACTCGGCCCACATTTCTGACCTCGCCCTCCCTGGCCTTTCTTTCCCTTTCCTGAGTCAAGCTCTGTGAAGACTGGGGTGAGACTGGGGTGCTCCAAGCTGGGGTGTGCAGGGAGGAAGTGGTGTCAGCAGCAGAGAAAGAGAGGGAAGCAGTGCTAGGAACAGCAGGTCCTCTGAGGACAAAGGTATAACTGACACCCTCCAGCGTTTCCGTGACGGTAGGGGCTGCAGTGTGGCTGCGGTCTTTCTACCAGAAGAGGGGGGAAACCACAGCCATGGCCCTGACATTCCAAATCCTCTGAGGGGGCTCAGTTCATGAATTGGCTGATATTCCACTCACATAGGACATGCCCTCCATGCCGTGTCTACTTTGTGTTGTTTTATGTGAGTAATTTTGCAGTATTAAAATCTAGTAAGAGTCACTTATTCAGCACTTGCTCAAAGTTCTCAGCTGACACTTGTTGTAGGGAGACGCCATGTCTATGTGGGGTGGGTCCTTCCTGTAGCCCTGGGCACCCAGGTGTGGTAGGAGCCTTAGAAAGCGGAAATGGGAGAATCTTCTGAGCACAGGGAGGGAGGGGTGGCTCCACATCCTCCTCTCTAAGGCAGTGCCTCCTTCTCCCCCAGGTGGTCAGGACAAACCCTTCCTGTCTGCCCGGCCCAGCACTGTGGTGCCTCGAGGAGGACACGTGGCTCTTCAGTGTCACTATCGTCGTGGGTTTAACAATTTCATGCTGTACAAAGAAGACAGAAGCCACGTTCCCATCTTCCACGGCAGAATATTCCAGGAGAGCTTCATCATGGGCCCTGTGACCCCAGCACATGCAGGGACCTACAGATGTCGGGGTTCACGCCCACACTCCCTCACTGGGTGGTCGGCACCCAGCAACCCCGTGGTGATCATGGTCACAGGTCAGAGGCTTTCTGTCTGGGCTTCTCACTGTCCCACCTCCTGAATCCCAGAGCTTCTGGTGGGGGTGTCCATCAGGGTCCCATCACCCAGGCCCCAACTGTATTTGGGGTCAAGGGGGATTGAATACAGGGGAAATGGGCGCTGTGGTGGGAAGAATAACTGTCGCCAATGATGGCTACATTGTAAACCCTGGAGCCTGTGACTATTTATGTTATAGGGCAGGGGACTGAAGGGGAAGGTGGAGCTCAGGTTGTTGATGAGTTGACCTTGAGATGGGGAGACAGCCTGGACTGTCCTGCTGGGCTCAGTGTAATCACAAGGGTCCGCGTGAGAGGTGGAGGAAGAGGGGAGTGGGGATTAGAGCAGTGTAGTGGGAGGGAGACGCTATCAGCCACTGTGGGCTTTGAAGGTGGAGGAAGGCCACTAGTCACAGAATGCAGGTGGCCTCTAAGGGCTGGAGAAGTCAAGAGAACTGATTCGCTGAGTCTCCAGAGGGAACGCAGCCCTGCAGATGCCTTGATTTCAGCACAGGGAGAACTGGATCCAATTTCTGTCCCCAGAAGTGGAAGGGGTCAGTGTGTTCTCTCCTGCTGCCATGTTTGTGATAATTTTCTGCAGCAGCAACAGGAAACCGACACAGGAACCCAGGTCAAGGACAAGCTAGGAAACCAAACAAGGATAGCCAGGTGTGGTGGTGGGCACGAGTAATCCAACGACTGGGGAGGCTGAGGCAAGAGAATCACTTGAACCGGGGAGGCAGAGGTTGCAGTGAGCCAAGACAACACCACTGCACTCCAGCCTGGGTGAAAAAGTGACTGTCTCAAAAATAAATTAATTAATCAATTAATTAAAGAAACCAAACAAGGAGAAGGTTGGCTACCGTGGGATCAGCAAGGGTGGGATGCTGATGCCACCACCAGGCTCCATCCACATAGGAAGGGGTTGATGCTCCTGGAACCAGCACCAGGGACCACCCTATGGAAGCTGGGGCCATGGAGAAGGCACAGACATGGCAGGAGAGGCTCCCAATCCCCATCAGGAACAGGGTGTGTGGACACTGATGTCTGCCTTACTGATGAGTTGATACCTCTGCCAGAGACTCCAATTTGTTCAAAAGAGATTGATTCAGGCTGCTGAGAGCCTGGACATGCAGCCTGTCCTCTTCCACCCCCACATAGACAGCAGGAAAGAGACTAGTGGGAAAGAGATACAACAGCCCAAGAGATGAGGCTCTCTTCACAGTGGGAAGGGAGTCAGGGGCTACTGGAGACAGAGGGACAGAGAAGAGGGAGGAAGACAAATGGAGGGACCTGCACCAGGGGATATGGGCACAGAAAAGACACGGAGACACAGAGAGGGAGGAGAGAGACAGACCTCTGGGAGGGGAACCCTCACTCATTCCAGGTGCCATGGATGGGATGATAAAGAGAGATGCCTTCTAAACTCACAACTTCTCTTTCTAGGAAACCACAGAAAACCTTCCCTCCTGGCCCACCCAGGGCCCCTGCTGAAATCAGGAGAGACAGTCATCCTGCAGTGTTGGTCAGATGTCATGTTTGAGCACTTCTTTCTGCACAGAGAGGGGATCTCTGAGGACCCCTCACGCCTCGTTGGACAGATCCATGATGGGGTCTCCAAGGCCAACTTCTCCATCGGTCCCTTGATGCCTGTCCTTGCAGGAACCTACAGATGTTATGGTTCTGTTCCTCACTCCCCCTATCAGTTGTCAGCTCCCAGTGACCCCCTGGACATCGTGATCACAGGTGAGAGTGTCCAGACATTCTTCTCATTGTCATTGGGACACAGAGTGAATGATCCAGGACTTGGAACCCCCAGGTGGTCATGAGGAAGATAAGCGTGGGATTCTTATGGAGAGAGACTGACTCGGTGAGGTCTGTACCAACAGAGACAGGGAAACAGGAGACATAAGTACAGACCAGGTGTCATAACAGAGGACAGACACAGGGGCCATACGGGGAAGTAGAAAAGAGAGAAAGAGGTAAAGGAGACACTCAGACAGACAGACATGTGCCAGAGAGAAGTGTCCTTCCATGCTGACTTTGCTCAGAGACCTGGCACAGGTTAGAAGTTTCATTTCTGTTTTGTCTCCACAAAGTGCTTCTACGAGGAGAACCCAAGGACACCCATATTTCTGACCTGAGTTGGGCCCTGTGGCCTCAGGCCTTGTGGCATCTACAGATGCCATGTTTATTCTGACACCTCTGCCTTCCATGCAGTGGAGCCATAATTATCCCAGGATATCATGGCCCCAGAACACCAACCCCTAAATACTGTGTGTACTTGGTGTCCCCAGACTAGATTCTGAGGCTCATATTCCAAATAATCCTACATATAATAGGATCACTGAGAGACACAGAGATAAATCAGGGACTTCAAAAAGCAAAGGCATAAACACACAGAGAATGAGCCAGAGGAAGGGGATTGAGAGACTCACAGACACACAAAAAGAAAGAAAAGAGGGCAGAGGAGTGGAGAGAATGCTGGAAGGGAGGAGAGAAAAGCCCCAAAATCAGAACCCTGAGGGAGGGGCACAAAGACAGAGAAAGATAAAGATGTGGGGATGGATTGCAGAGATTCCAAATAGAACTAGAGAGACTGAGAGGCAGAGAAAGACAAGGAGATGGAGAGAGACAGATGATAGATGGATAGATAGATATAGATAGATGATAAATAGGTAGATGATAGATAATGGATAGGTTATAGATACATAGATGATGATTGATAGATGATACATAGAGATGATGATGATGATGATGATGAAGATAGATAGATAGAAGACACATATATAAATATATAGATACATAGATGATACATAGAGACTGACAGGCAGACAGAGAGGTAATAGAGAGAGAGAGAGATGATACATAGATACAGATAATACATAGATGATTGATGGATAGACAGATAGACAATTGATAGATAAATGATACATAGATATAGATGACAGATAATTTGTAGATAGACACAAAATAGATAGATAGATAATAGATAGAAATATGCAGAAAGTTATGAACAAGACAGAAAGTGAGAGACTCAGAATTATAGAAAAAGGAAGATCAAGTCAACCAATCCAAGGAGAGTCAGAGAGAATAAAACAATCCAAAAAGGGAAAGCATACCCAGGGGTGGGGAAGTGAGGTCAGAGACCTAGAGAGACAGAGAAGGCGGAAGGAGGAAATAGACATGAAGAGAGTTGGGGTGGAGGGTGAGAGAGAGAGAGAGCATTAGGTCATAGAGCAGGGGAGTGAGTTCTCAGCTCAGGTATGAGGGGAGCTGTGACAAGGAAGAACCTCCCTGAGGAAACTGCCTCTTCTCCTTCCAGGTCTATATGAGAAACCTTCTCTCTCAGCCCAGCCGGGCCCCACGGTTCAGGCAGGAGAGAACGTGACCTTGTCCTGTAGCTCCTGGAGCTCCTATGACATCTACCATCTGTCCAGGGAAGGGGAGGCCCATGAACGTAGGCTCCGTGCAGTGCCCAAGGTCAACAGAACATTCCAGGCAGACTTTCCTCTGGGCCCTGCCACCCACGGAGGGACCTACAGATGCTTCGGCTCTTTCCGTGCCCTGCCCTGCGTGTGGTCAAACTCAAGTGACCCACTGCTTGTTTCTGTCACAGGTGAGGAAAACCCGTGTCTGTCCCATGTCTTATGATCCTAGAGCCATAGCTGAGGAGCTTCCTGCCGATGATGGGGAGAAGCATGGACAGATGCAGAGAGAACACGAAGACTGGGTGTGAGGGGGGGGTCAGGGTGCAGGATGGCAGACAGGGCACCTCCAAACCCTCTTGCATGGCCTGCATGGAGGCCCATGGTCAGGGCTCCAGGCACCCAGGCAGATGGAGAAAGCGGTCAGGACAGACCCAGAGAAGGGGAGACTGGGCTCAGTTTGGGGAGATCAGAGGTTCCCTCAGCCCCTCAACCTTACCCATTTCCCAGAAGCCCATCCTGGCCTCTCACCCACACAGAGAGATGTCATCACCAGCAACCCCTACACTCTTTTCTTTTCATTTTCAAAAATATTTATTGAGGTTAAATGTAACTATATAATTTACCAACTTTACCATTTTTAAAAGTAAAATCTAGTGGTCATAAATACCTTTATATGCTGGGTGTGGTGGTTCACGGTTGTAATCTTGGCGCTTTGAGAGGCCAAGAAAGGTGGATCATTTAAGATCAGGGACTCGAGATCAGCCTGGCCAACATGCGGGAAATTCATCTTTACTAAACAGACAAGAAAAATTAGCCAAGCATGCCGGCATGCACCTGTAGTCCTAGCTACTTGGGAGGCTGAGGCAGGAGAAGCACTTAAAGCCAGGAGGCAGAGGTTGCACTGAGCCGAGATCATGCCACTGCACTGCAGCCTGGGAGACAGAGAGAGACTCTGTTTCTAAATAAATAAATACATCTATATTCTTTTTTTTGTTACCCTCCACCCTTCCCTTCCTGGCCTCTGGTATCCACCATTCTATTCTCTACCTTCATGAGATCCACCTTTTATCTCCTGCATGTGGTGAGAAATGGGAATCTTTGTAATGACCTCCAGTTCCATCCATGTGGCTGCAAATGACAGGATGTTATTGTTTCTATGGATGAGTAGTCTCCACCGTGTGTGTGTACTACAGTTCTCTATCCATTCACCCACTGATAGGCAGGTAGGTTGACTCCACATCTTGGCTACTGTGAACAGTGCTGGAACAGTCATATGAGTGCAGATATCACTTCGATACACTGATGTCCTTTCCTTTGGATATAAACCCAGTAGTGAAATTGCTGGACACTATGAAAGTTCTCTTTTTTTTTTTTCTTTTTTGAGAAAGAGTTTCCCTCCTTAGTCCAAGCTGGAGTCAAAGTGGTGCGATCTTGGCTCATTGCAACCTCTGCTTCCTAGGTTCAAACGATTCTCCTGACTCAGCCTCCCTAATAGCTGTGATTACAGGTGCACGCCACCATGCCTGACTAATTCTTGTATTTTTTAGCACAGACGGGATATCCCAATTTTGGGCAGGCTGCTCTCAAACTCCTGACCTCAAGTGAGGTGCCTGCCTCGGTTTCCCAAAGTGCTGAAGTTACAGGCATAAGCCACTATGCCCAGCCTCCTTTTAGTTTTTTAAAGTTTTTCCATACTTTTCTCCATAATAGTTGTACTAATTTACATTCCTACCAACAGGGTACCAGGGTTCTCCTTTCTCTACCATCTTGCCAGCATTTGTTTTGCCTGTCTTGCAGATAAAAGCCATTTTACTTTATTTATTTATTTATTTATTTATGTTGAGATGGAGTTTCACTCATAGTCGCCCAGGCTGGAGTGCAAGGGTGTGATCTCGGCTCACTGCAACCTCTGCCTCCCGCGTTCAACTGATTCTCCTGCCTCAGCCTCCAAAGTAGCTGGGATTACAGGCATGTGCCACCACGCCTAGCTAATTTTTGTATGTTTAGTAGAGAGGGAGTTTCTCCATGTTGGTCAGGCTGGTCTCCCGACCTCAGGTGATCCGCCCACCTCCGCCTCCCAAAGTGCTGGAATTACAGGCGTGAGCCACCGGCCTAAAAGGCATTTTAATGGGATGAGATGAAAACTCATCGCGATTGTAATTTACATTTCTGTGATGATGAGTGATGCTGAGCACTTTTTCATATACGTGATCGCCATTTCTATGTTTTGTTTGTGGAGAAATGTCTCCTCATGTCTTTTGCTCGTTTTTTAATTAAATTGTTTTATTGAGTTGTTTGAGCTTCTTATATTTCCAGTTATTAATCCCATCTCAGATGAATAGTTTGCAAATATTTGCTCCTATTTTGTGGGTTGTCTCTTCACTTTGTTGGTTTATCTTTGGTGGTGCAGAAGTTGCTTGGTTTGATGTAATCCTAATGGTCTATTTTTTGCTTTGATTACTTGTGTTTTGAAGGTTTTAAACAAAATGTCTTTCGTCAGACAAATGTCTTCCCCATTATTTTCTTCTACATGTTTCATAGGTTCAGGCCTTAGACTCATGTTTTTAATCCATTTTCATTTGATTTTTGTGTAAGGTGACAGGTATAGATGCAGTTTTATTCCTCTGCATGTAGATATCCAGTTTTCCCCACACCATTTATTGAAGACTGTCCTTTCTTGATTGTAAGTTCTCGGCACCTTTGTCAAAGTCCATTAAATGGGCTGGGCATGGTGGCTCACACCTGCAATTCCAGCACTTTGGGAGGCCGAGGCGGGTGGATCACCTAAAGCCAGGAGTTCAAGACCAGGCTGGCCAACAGAGTGAAACCTCGTCTCTACTAAAAATACAAAAATTAGCTGAGCATGGTGATCAGTGCCTGTAATACCACTACTCAGGAGTTTGAAGCAAGAGAATTTCTTGAATCCAGGAAGTGGAGGTTGCATTGAGCTGAGATTGCACCTCTACACTCCAGCCTGCATGACAGAGCAAGATTCCATCACACACACACAAAAGAAAGCCATTGGATGTAAATGCATGGATTATATCTGTGTTCTCCATTCTGTTCCATTTTTTATGTGCCTTTCTTTATGCCAATGTCATGCTGTTTTGCTTACTACAGCTCTGTAACATATTTCTAAGTCAGGTAGTGTGATGCTCCTGTTTTCTCTTTATACCTTCAAGTCTCAAGACAGTGGGCATCGCACACAAAAATTATGGAGAAAAGGATCCCAAGACTCCCAGGGTCCAACATTAGATAACAGAGTGTTGGCCATGAACCAACCTCAAAGATTTCCATTGAGTAGAGGACAAGCACCCTCATTTCCTCACATCTCTCCTGTCCCGTGTTCTAGGAAACCCTTCAAGTAGTTGGCCTTCACCCACAGAACCAAGCTCCAAATCTGGTGAGTAAAGGACCCCTCTTATCTCTGCTTTTGGAAACCTGGGGAGGTGGAAGCCTTGGATGCAAGTGTTGGCTCAAACCTCCCAGCTCTGTGAATGAGGGCCTGTCTTCCACCATCTCTGAACTCCAGACACTCCAACAGTGAAAGGGATCTAGGGCCACCAAAGGGCTCAGCGAAGTCTCTTTACCTTTAATTTCCTGCAGGTGAGACCTCCTACAAGCTAGAAGAATAATTGCCAATCTGACATCCTTCTCAGGAAACATGCAGTGTTTTTTCTGCCTGCATTCCTAACTGGAGGATAAATTCCCGGGGGCTTGAGAGAGGGAAGGGAAGGGAACATCTGATGAGGGTGGGTGTTTTAGAGAAGTTCCACTTGCCAAGGAATGAATTACTGTTGGTCATCAGGCAACCCTGGCTGACTCAGCAGAGCAAGAGCCTTGCCGTAACAGAGAACAGAGCTCATGCACGCACACTTCGACTCACTGACTCATTCAGCCACAGCCCCATGCTCAGGCTGTGCAGTGTGGAAGCTTTTCCTATTGTTGCCATAACAAATTTCCACAAGATTCGTGGGTGAAAACAAAACGGTTATTTAATTATCTTACAGTGCCGTAGCTCAAAGCATGACGTGCATGTCACTGGGCTAAAATCAAGGTGACAGCAAGGCTGCCTTCCCTCTGAGGGTTCCAGGCAAGAATCTGCTTCTCACTTTTCTCAGCTTCTAGAGGCTCCCATGTTCCTTGGCTCCTGGTACCCTTCCTCCTTCCTCAAAGCCCACAAAGACTGGTCACATCTCACATGGCATCACTCAGACCCTTCTTCCTTACCACACCTCTTTCTCTGAATGCTGCTCTCCCTTCTTCCCCTTCTTTTGAAAACTTGGGGATTCTATTGGGTTCACCAAGATGAAAATCCATCATAATCTCCCGGAAATCATCCAGGATACCCTCCTTTTAAGTTCAGCTGACTAGCAACCATAATTCCATCTGCAATCTTCATTCCTCCTTTCATGTAAAATAACATATTCACAAGCTATGGAGGCTAGGACATGGACATTTTTGGGGTGGGACAACATTCTCCTGCCTTCCACAAACAGTGAACAAGATGCATTTGGCCTCTGTTCTTGGGACACTGATCTTGCAGATGGTTAAATGGGAGGGCAGAAAATGTAGGCACAAGGGGACCAATAAATGAATGATCTATTGAGAAGCATCTGTGCATGAAATCTATTTATTTATGTATTTACCTACTTGTTTATTGAGACGGAGCCTTGCTCTGTCGTCCAGGCTAGAGTGCGGTGGCATGATCTCGGCTCACTGCAACCTCCACCTCCTGGGCTGAACGGATCTCCTCCCTCAGCCTCTCCAGTAGCTGGGATTACAGACCACAACCACCACGCCCGGCTAACTCTTTTTGCATATTTTCTGTAGAGAGGATGTTTCACCATGTTGGCCAGGCTGGTCTCAAATTCCCAACCTCAGGTGATCCAATAGCCTCTGCCTCCCAACACGCTGGGATAAGAGGCATGAGCCACGGGGCCAAGCCAAATTTTCAAATCAATAATAGATAATGCTGAGTGTATGATTTCAGGTGACAGAGAAGTTCTCACTAATCAGATATTTGTGACATTAATGAAAAACACGGATTGAACCCCTGAAAGATGGGCGGAAGGATTTTGCACACACAGCTGTCAGCCGTGAAGGCACAAAGGTGAAAATAATCTGATGTTGAAGGAAGAGGCTCTGCCTCAAATGCTGGGAATGACGTGGGGAGAATGACAAGACGACTGTAGAGAGACGGAGAGCACACTGGGTACACAGGAAACTAAGGAGCAACAAGGAGTGTGTGTTTGACACTCACAGCCATTGGACTCACCTCGGGGTAACCAGGAATCCCTACATGATTAATATGACTGACATGAAAATAAGGGAGGCCCAGGTGCGTAACTGGAATCTAGGAGACCGTGGAAAAGGCAATTCCCGCCCCACTGGTGAAATGTGGTGCTGATTTAGACACTAAATGAATGAAGTAGATGGATATAAGATATGTTTGTGAGGTAGAATCATTGGCTGGAAAGGCTTGCTGGGTTTGATTTTTTCCTGGTAGTTTAATCCTCGCTTCACTAACTTATTTCTGAGATTTATTTCTCCTGCATCTAAATCAATACCTGGCAGAGGAGGGAGAGCTAGATGAGGGGTGGTGCAAATGAAGGGACCTAGTATAGCATAATATACAAGGCTGTGAACGGTGGCTCACGCCTGTAACCCAGCACTTCAGGAGGCCAACGCGGGTGGATCACATGAAGTCAGGAGTTCGAGACCAGCCTGGCCAACATGGAGAAACCCTATCTCTACTAAAAATACAAAAATTAAACAGGCATGATGGTGGTGCATGACTGTAATCCCAGCTACTCTGGAGGAGGAAGCAGGAGAATGACTTCAGCCCTGGAGGCAGAGGTTGCAGTGAGTGGAGATCGCGTCACTGCACACCAGCCTGGGCTACACAGGGATACTCTGGCTCAAAAAATAAAAATAAAAAATACATAAATATAATAATATACACAAATGATGCAGGCACCTGAATTCCAATCATCATTTTTCTATTTCTCTATAATTACTTCTTTGATCCTTTATCTTATCCATTAGAAAATCAGCCTAAAACCTCTTCCATATTTGGCTTTCTGTGAACATGAGATCATATGGAAAATATGAAAGCCCCCTGAACCCACCAGCACAGGCCCTGAAATAGGGAAAGTGCTCTGTTCATCACAAGAAACTTGCCCCCTCACCCAAATCCCCCACCTCACCCCTACTTCCAATCACCTGTGGAGATACAGATAGATCATGGGGAGGTAAACGCTAATACTCCTTGGAGTGAGTTCAGATCTTGGAATCAGAGATCAGCACCAGCACTAGCTCCTGCTCCCCTTTCCTACTAATTCACAGGAGGACAGGTGGTTTTGAAGCAATAGATGGTGGAGGGGGTGGTCTTTCCCCCAGCCTCTCAGGTGGAACAGCAGCCTAACATGTGTCTCGCGAGATCACAAAGAGTAGCACGTTTCACATGGGCTTCATCATTATTTCCTGGCTGTTTGACATAAGAGAATTCTACTTTGCTTTTTTGATCTTGATTTCACTTTTGTGTCCTTTTCTTGGAGAATGTAATTTGAGTCAAGAGGGTTGTGGATGTAGAAACTGTAAAGCACATTCACTGTGTATCAATCCCAGTTCAGTCTTTCCAGAGAAGACTCTAAACACCTGCTGTACTGCACCTGGGCCTATGCAAATTTCTATCACTCACCGTCACTCCAGGGAGACAGAACACACAGAGAATACGTTACATAGGCAGG